>NC_000006.12:102495032-102646547 GCF_000001405.40 Homo sapiens
AGTGCTGGGCAGTAAGTCTAAGAGGACAGTGACACATGATATCCCTGGCTTGACCGCAAGACTGGACTCCTATTTTCCCATCAGTGCACCTTTCTAGTTTCTTTCTCTCTCTTTTTTGGGTCAGGTGAAGGACAAATCTAATCTATGTGGGAGACTCTTAATGCCAGAACCTGTAGGTTGATAAAAAGACAGTGATTTCTCCATCAGCATATCCTTAAAAGGTCAAATGAGAAATCAATTCTTAGTCCCTACAGTGTCCTCACTTGAGCACATTCTGCACAATTGGGCATACTTCAAACTCGATGACTAAAAAGAAAGAAGTTCATCTTTTATTGTAACACTGTTTAGTCAAAACCTCCATTAGAATCTCAGGAGGTCTGGGCAACCAGTGAGGCACTAAAATATAATCCATCCTGCAAGTGGATTCACTTTGTAAAAGGGAAGGGAAATTGTCTGAAATTCTCTATGTACAAGCCTTGATGGCTCAGTACCAAGACAAACCCCTTAGAGATCAGTGCAGGATGTGTCATGCTGACTTGACTCAAAGGGGTTTGAAGGAGCTGGACATAATGAATGACCCCATGTTAGGTAACTTTCTTCCTTCAAGTTCCCCATCTTTAAGCCCAGAACCAACACCACTTATCCCTGTTTTGACTTTTTCAGGGGATTCTAATACTTTCAGTCCTCAAACCCCTGCTTTGCCTTTACCTTCTCCTTATCAACCTATTTATGGTTTTTTACCAGAGGACTCAAGTCTCACAGGGACTTTCCAACTCAATCCAAGTTGTTTCTCCTTAGGGAAGTGGTGAATAGGGAAACCAGAACTATGTGATTTCATGTCCCTTTTTCTATGTCAGTCTTAGGTCAGTGCAAACAAAGGCTAGGACAGCTCTCAAAGGGGCCCCACTAAGTATATAGAAATATTCCAAGCTCTATCTCTGCCATTTGAACTTACATGGGAGGGAGGACATGCATGTGATTCTATTCACCAGTTGCACACACGAGGAAAAGCAAAGAATCTGGGCCAAGGCACAAGCCCATGCTGACAGGAAACATGCATTAGATGTCACTCACCGTGTAGGGGCATTGCAGTCCCCAACCAGGACCCTAACAGGAACTACCAAGAGGGTAGCAGAGACTTGCATAGGAGAAACAGGATCATAAAATATCTTTTAGAAGAAATGAGGAAGTAGGCTACCCAACCAGATAACTACAATAAACAAAGAAATAATTCAGGGAAAGGATGAGAATCCCACATTGTTTCAGAAACACCTTGTAGAGGCAGTAAAGAAATACACCAATGTGGACTCTATCTCTGAGGCAGGGCAGTCCTCTTAGGGACACACTTCATTAGTCAGTCTGCCACAGACATTAGGAGGAAAATACAAAAAATAGCCATGGGTCCCCAGACCCCAAAGAATGAATTAGTAAATGTAGCATTTGACATCTTCAACAATCATAACAGAGTGGAAGAGGCTCAGTGGGATCAATGTGAAGAGGAAAGAGACAAGCAGGAGGCACAGTTGTTTGCCTTAGCCATGACAGGCAACCCGCCAACATGAGGCTGCCCTGGGCAAGGCCACTTTAATGAGGCCAAAGAGACCATTACTATATATGCAGGAAGCCAGGACACTCAAGCAAGAATTGTCCCCGTCAAGGTATCCCACCTGGACCTTGTCCTCAGTGCAAAAGAAAAGGCAACTGGAAGAGGAACTGTTCTTAACTCCAAAGCGAGAAAGGTGCACCCAATGCTATACTGACCATAAGTGAGGACTGGAGGAGGCTAAAGCTCCTGACAGCTCCCCATTCCAAAAGATTCTTATTACTAATGAAGTTTAGATGTGGCAGGCAACATATTGATTTTTTTTTTAGTTTTGAAAATTTCTTTTTTAAAAATTTTAATAATTTTGGGGGTACAGGTGGTTTATGGTTACAAGGATGAGCTTTTTAGTGGTGATTTCTGAAATTTTAGTGCACCTGTCACCCGAGCAGTGTACACTGTACCACATATGTAGTCTTTATCCTTTGCCCTCCCTCGGAACCTTCCCCACTCTGAGTCCTGACATTCTATTATATCATTCTTATGCCTTTGCATCTCCATTGCTTAGCTCCTACTTATAAATGAGAATATGTGATATTTGGTTTTCCACTCCTAAGTTACTTCACTCAGAATAATGGCCTCCAGCTCCATCCAAGTTGCTTCAAAAGATGTTATTTTGTTCCTCTTTATGACTGAATAATATTCCATGGTATATATATATCACATTTTCTTTATCCACTCATTGGTTGATGGGCACTCAGATACGTTCCATATCTTTGCAATTGTAAATTGTGCTGTTATAAACATGCATGTAAATGTGTCTTTTTTAATACAATGATTTCTTTTCTTTTGGGTAGATACCCAGGAATGGAATTGCTGGATCAAATGGCAGTTCTACTTTTAGTTCTGTAAGGAATCTCCATATTGTTTTTCACAGTGTTTGTGCTAATATGCATTTCCACCAGCAGTGTGAAAGTGTTCCCTTTTGACCACATCCATGCCAGCATCTATTGTTTTTTGACTTTTTAATTATGTCCATGCTTACAAGAGTAAGGTGATATCTCATTGTGTTTTTAATTTCCATTTTCCTGATGATTAGTGATGTTGAGGATTTTTTCATGTTTGTTGGCCATTTGTATCTCTTCTTTTGAGAAATGTCTATTCATGTTTTGTCCACTTTTTGATGGAATTATTTGTTTTTTTCTTGCTGATTCATTTGAGTTCCTCGTAGATTCTGGATAGTACTCCTTAGTCAGATGCATAGTTTGTGAATATTTCCTCCTGTTATGTGGGTTGTCTGTTTGCTGATTATTTCTTTGGCTGTGCAGAAGCTTTTTAGTTTAATTAGGTACCATTTATTTATTTAGTTTTTGTTGCATTTGCTTTTGGAGTCTTAGTCATAAATTCTTGGCCTAATCCAATGTCCAGAAGAGTTTTTTCTGGTGCTATCATCTAGAATTGTTTATGATTTCAGGTCTTAGGTTTAAGTCTTTGATCTATCTTGTGTTGCTTTTAGTATAAGCAACTCTCTTTTGGCATTCAGAGATGGGGATGCAGTTTCATTCTTCTTCATGTGGCTTGACAGTTTTCCTAGCATCATTTATTGAATAGGGTGTCCTTTCCCCATTTTTTGTTTTTGTATGCTTTGTTGAAGATCAGTTTGTTGTATGTATTTGGCTTTATTTATGGGTTATCTATTCTGTTCAATTGGTGTACAGGCCTATTTTTATACCAGTACCATGCTGTTTTGGTAACTATAGCCTTGTGGCATAATTTGAAGTCGAGTAATGTGATGCCTCCAGATATGTTCTAATTGCTTAGTATTGCTATGGCTCTATGGGCTCTTTTTTAGTTCCATATGAATTTTGGGATTGTTTTTTTCTAGTTCTGTCAAGAATTGTGATTTCTTGTTAGACATGGGAGCCTGTCTTTTTGTTTTGACCTGCCACTCAGGACCTCTATCCTCTAGTTTCCTCATTGTCACTGTAGTTAGTGGCAAACCCCAAAGAAGACCATTTATTTTTCCTATAACTAGTAGACTGACACTACCTGATAATTACAAATTTCTAGTCATGCCAGAATGATTCACTCCTTTACTGGGGCAAGACTTCTTTTCTACCCCAGGAACCAGGGCCTTCCTGAGCCTGACTCTGAGGGAGAAGTCATCCCCAGGGTCAGACCAGGAGACATGATTTACATGAAAACATGAAAAAAAGGTCACCAGATGACCAACTTCTAACAAAATAGGAAGATCCATACCAAGTGTTTCTGAGTACTTCAAACATAAACTACCAGGAATTGCCAGCTGAGTACATTTCTCTAGAATAAAATCTGTTTCGCCTTAACCTCCACAGGATTCTCTATCAACAACTGAAGATCTGGAATACTCCTGGGAGCTACGCTTGACCGGGTGCAGTGGCTCACGCCGGTAATCCCAGCACTTGGGGAGGCCGAGGCTGGCGGATTACAGGGTCAGGAGATATAGACTATCCTGGTTAACACGGTGAAACCACGTCTCTACTAAAAATACAAAAAATTAGCTGGGTGTGGTGGCGGGCACCTGTAGTCCCAGCTACTCGGGAGGCTGAGGCAGGAGAATGGCATGAACCCGGGAGGCAGAGCCTGCAGTGAGCCGAGATCATGCCACTGCACTCCAGCCTGGGTGACAGAGAGAGACTCTGTCTTAAAAATAAATAAATAAATAAATAAGTAAAATAAAATAAATAAATAAAAAATTAAAAAAACTCTATGCTCCTTTTCAGAAGGAATCCTTGGGAGCCTCCTACTACAAAATGATGCTCTGAATAAGGTTGGAGGTAGTATTAATCTTCCTAATTCTCTGCCTGTTCATCTTTTACTTTTACTGATGTGAGTTTGTCCCACCTGTGGGAAGCAATAACTGTGCCCTTACTGGGTATAATTCTCAAAAGTAAACACAGAACCCAAGACTAAAGAGATTGCTATTACCTCAACATAAGGTAGCCCCATCTTAGTTCTCTTTATAGGAGCCCTCTTTGTTTTTCTACAGCTTTCTTCTTTTATCTCTACTAAATATAATTATGTTCAGACTTTTAATAGTTATCTTATTACTGCTAATTTTTGGTCCTTGCTTGCTTAACTTCCTGTAAAACTTGTTTTTTCTAGATTACAATAATTCCATCTAATATTACTGTTTATATTAATAATATTATAATTAATATATTATATTATACTAATTATTAATAATATATCAAATATAATGATTACTGTTAATTCATTAACAGTAATATTGTTACAGGGATACCAGCCAGTTCCTCATCCACATGTGGAGAAAAGACCTTTAGAAACTTTAGATCAGGCAGGGAGAGAATTTTGGGCCCAGGCTAGGCAGAAACTACAGGCCCTCTAAGCTTCTGGAAGTCACAGAAGAAATGACCTAGCCCCTCAATGACCTATATGATTATGGGCCCTAAATTCTCTGAGGGGGAAAATGAGTCAGGCAGTTAGTGAAGGAATAAGACATGATCACTTGCAGGTGGCTAACAGCAATACAAACAGGGTCAAATAGGTTAATACAAGGACCCCAGTCAAAAACAGATGTTCCAGAAAGGGGCTAGGGCAATGTCTGTGGTCACCTATGGTTGGCAGCTTCCTTGTTCAAAGAGGAATGACTGTTAAAGAAAGTCCGAAAGACCAAGCATGCATAGTAGCAGAGAACCATATCCTTATGGTGAACTTTGCTCATAATAATAGTAAAAATATACCCTTGGATGGAGATTTAAAATACTAATGAGACAAGTCATGTACGTACTACCATTTACAGTGATGCTGCATGCGGACCCAATAGACCACCCACACAATGCTTAACAACATTCCTGCCCCTTTGTGAATAATCATGTAAGACTCTCATAAAAGAAGTTTCCCCAGTGCTAGTCAGCACTGTCTCATTCTCCAGCAACCAGCCCTGACCTAGCTGTCAAAAGTATACTTCTACTTTGCAATAAACTTTTTTGCCTACTCTTACTTTGGACTTGCTCTCAAATTCTTTTGTGCAGTGAAGTCGAGAACCTGAACCAGCCTACCAGCAACAAAACCACATTCATTATTACCCCAAGTGTGGCATGATACCTACTTCACCCATTCTCCCTGACTAATATGCTTAAATCTACTTTTCTAAAACACAATGTGGTATATGTTTCTTTACTTTTTAAAAGGTTATCTGGTTTTTTATTGTCTCTACAGCAAAGATCAAGCTCCTCAACTTAATATAGAACTTTCAAAGACTGGTTCTCATATATCTGTTTTTATTTACTAAACTGTCTTCCTCTTTCACAATGTATGTTTACAAGAATCATGCCCAGAAACAATGGTCTCCAGGCTGTCCTGTCTAAATCATACTTCTGTCCTTTAGTGCAAATTGCTTATTTTGTTAGACTATCTTTTTCTCTCCTTCTTGTCTAGTGATTTATTACATTAAAAAATCTGTTCAAATAGTAGCTCCTTTGAAGCAAATTTGCTTTCTGCAGACAACTAATTTTTCTCTGTGCCTTCATAAACACTCCATATATTATTCCCATATATTTACTTATTCAGAGACATTACAGTTGTCTTTAAACTTCATTTTTTTTCTGTGAAACTTTGAAGTCTTCATGAGTAGGAGTGGTTCCCTATTCTTCTTGTAATATCTAACACATAACATGTAATATGTGGTGGATTCTCAGAGTAGTGTGTGGTAGATTTTCTGCTCTTGTATATGCTGATGGGCACAACCTTAAAGCATTTTAAAACACATGACACCAGATCTTTTATAGTAAGGAGAATAGAAAGCCATTGGTATCTCAATGATGTCAATGTAGGCTTTGAAAGAGAGTGAGAAGAGGTAGTATATTACAGCCACCCAAAATAGTACGTATTTTTCTTAGTTAAGAGTTTGTTTTTATGTAGGAGCATTCATAAAGGAGTAGGAAATGACTTGAAGAGTACACTGAAAGAAAGTTAGGTTAAAAATATGAAATCCCTTATTCTTCTCTGTGTGATATTTTTCCAATTTTTATTGTGTAAAACATACATAACATAAAACTCACAATCTCAGCGATTTTTAAGTGTACAGTTCAGTGGCATTAAGTACATTTACATTGTTGTGCCAGTATCACCACCACCCATCTCCAGAACATTACATCTTGAGGAACTGAAACTCTATACTCATTAAAAATTAACTCCTCCTTGCTCCCTATCCCTGGCCCCTGGAAATCACCATCCTACTTTTTGTCTCTGTGGTTTTGACTACTCTTAAGTACCCCATATAAGTAGAATCACACAGTATTTCTTTTTATGACTATTGCATTTCACTTAGAACAGTATCTTCATGGTTCATTCATATCATCACTTATGTAAGACTTCCCCTCATTTTAAGGCAGAATAATACTCTATTGTGTGTTTTATACATATAAGATCATATCATCTGCAAATATACATAATTTTACTTCTTTTCTCTTATGTCTTTTATTTCATTTTCTTGACTGATTGCTTCACTAGAACTTCCAATAGTATGTTGAATAGCAGGCAATAGTGGGGATCTTTTGCTGTTCTTAACGTGAAGGGAAGTTTTTATTTCATCTTTCACTATTAAGCATGATGTTTGCAGTGAGCTTTTCATATATGACTTTTATTATGTTGAGGTGGGTTATCTCTAATTCCTAGTTTTTTATGTTTTAATCATGAAAGATTGCTAAATTGTGTCAAGTGCTTTTTCTGCATCAATTTAAATAATTATGTGGGTTTTCTTCCTTCATTCTGTTAATGTGGTATATTATCATGATTTATTTTCATGTGTCGAAGCATCCTTGTACTCCAGAAATAAATTCCACTGGGTCATAGTACATAATTCTTTTAATTATGCTGGTGAATTTTATTTTCTAGTATTTTGTTAAGAATTTTGGCGTCAATGTTCATACAGGATATTGGTTTCTATTTTTATTTTTCTGCAATGTCTTTGCCTACAGACAATTTGATATCCTGGCAATGCTGGCTTTACAACATGAATTAGGATGTGTTTTCCTTCTTTATGTTTTTGGAAAACTTAAAAAAGGTTAGTTTTCCCAACTCTATTAGTGCTTCTTTAAATATCTGCTAGAATTCATCAGTGAAGCTATGAGGTCCAGGGCTCTTGTTTGTTGGGAAATTTTTGGTTTCTGATTCAATCTCCTCACTAGTAAATAGGTCTTTTCAGATTTTCTATTTCTTTGTAATTTAGTTTTTGTTGGCTTCATGTTTCTAGGAATTTATTCATTTAATCTAGATTATCCAATTTGTTGGCATATGATAATTCATAGTATTTTAAATAATTTTTTCATCTGGAGTAATGAACAATATCTCCACTGTAATTTCTTATTTTAGTAATTCATCTTTCTTTTTTTCTTAGTCCATATAGCTCTAGGGTTGTCAATTTTATTATTCTTTTTGAAGAAGTAATATCGGGGGAACCCACCCCCAATATTTCAATGTAGGTTCTATTTTTCCTAAGTGTCAGCCAGTCTGAGAAATAAAGAGAAATAGTACAAAGAGAGGAATTTTACAGCTGGGCTGCTGGGGGTGACATCACATATTGGTAGGACCGTGATGCCCACCTGAGCCACAAAACCAGCAAGTTTTATTGAGGATTTCAAAAGGGGAGGGGGTGCAAGAACAGGGAGTAGGTCACAAGATCACATGCTTCAAAGGGCAAAAGGAGAACAAAGATCACATGCTTCTGAGGAAACAGGACAAAGGCAAAATCACAAACTCCTGATAAGGGTCCAGCAAAGATCACAAGGCAAAGGGCAAAAGCAGAATTACTGATAAGGGTCTATGTTCAGCAATGCATGTATTGTCTTGATAAACATCTTAAACAACAGAAAACAGGGTTTGAGACCAGAGAACCAGTCTGACCTCAAATTTACCAGGGTGGAGTTCCCCAATACTAGTAAGCCTGAGGGTACTGCAGGAGACCAGGGTGCATTTCAGTCCTTATCTCAACCGCATAAGACAGACACTCCCAGAGCAGCCATTTATAGATCTCCCCCAAGGAATGCCTTCCTTCCCCAGGGTATTAATTATTAATATTCCTTGCTAGGAAAAGAATATAGTGATATCTTCCCTACTTCCATATCCATTTATAGGCTCTCTGCAAGAAGAAAAATATGGCTCTATTCTGCCCAACCCTGCAGGCAGTCAGACCTTATGGTTGTCTTCCCTTGTTCCCTAAAATCGCTGTTATTCTGTTCTTTTTCAAGGTGCACTGATTTCATATTGTTCAAACACATAAGTTTTACAACCAATTTGTACAGTTAACACAATTATCATAGTGGCCCTGAGGTGATGTACATCCTCAGCTTACAAAGATAATAGGATTAAGAGATTAAATTAAGACAGGCATAAGAAATTATGAAAGTATTTTTTGGGAACTGGTAAATGTCCATGAAATCTTCACAATTTATGTTCTTTTGCCATGGCTTCAGCCAGTCCCTCCATTTGGGGTCCCTGACTTCCCACAACAAAGTAATCTTTTGGTTTGTTGATTTTCTCTACTTTGTTCATCTCTGTTCCAATCTTTATTATTTCCTTCCTCTAATAACTCTAGGCTTAGTTTGTTCTTTTTTTCCCCAAGTTTCTTAAATTGTTGATTTAAGATCTAAATTGCTTCTTTTAAATGTGAGTCTTTACCACTATAAATTTCCCATTAGCAATTATCTCATCGTGTTCCATAAGTTTTGGTATGTTATGTTTTTATTTTGATTTATTCCCAAGTACTTCTAAATATCCTTGTGATTTCTCATGTGATCCATTGGTTGTTTAAGAATGCACTGCTTAATTTTCACATATTAATGAATTTTTTGGTTTCACATCTATTATTGATTTCCAACTTCATACTGTTGTGGTTGAAGAAAATATTTTGCATGATATTTTTCTTTCTTAATTGATTGAGACATAATTTTTGGCCTAATATATTATTAATCTTAGAAAAGTTTCCACGTGCACTTCAGTAGAATGTGTATGCTGTTGTTGTTGGGTAGATTGGTCTATATATATGTTAGATACAGTTGGTTTATCATGTTGTTCATGTTCTTATTTCCTTTCTTATCTTCTATCTGGTTGTTCCATTTATTAAAACAGTGGGTTATGGAAGTCTCCAACTATTATTGTAAAATTGTCTATTTATTCCTTCAATTCTGTCAGTTTCATTTAAACATTTTCTTGTTATTTGGATTGTAAATTTTTATTATTGTTATATATTTTTGCTTATTTATCTCATCTTTTCTTTAAAGTATATTTTTCTTGATATTAATATAGCCATCCCTGCTTTCTTTTGGCTACTATGTGCATAGAATATCATTTCTCATCTATTTACTTTCTGTCTATTTGTATATTTAGTTCTAAAGTGAGTCTCTTGTAAATTATATTTAGTTAGATCATTGGTCTCATACATTCTGCCAATCTGTATTTTGACTGGAGAGTTTAATCCATTTACATTTAAAGTCATTACTGATAAGAAGGGACTTACTTATTTACTTTAGCTATTTGTTTTCTATGTAGCTTATAGCTATTGCATTCCTCATGGTATGCATTACTGTCTCTTTTTGTATTTAGCTAATTTTTTGTAGTGAATGTTTAATTTGTTTTTAAATTTTCTATTGTGTATTTTCTATAGGTATTTTTTGTGGTAAACACATGAATTATATTTTACAACCTAAAGTAATCATACTCTAATTTGAATTTATATCAATTTACCTCAATAGTAAAATAGCTTCTTTACACATCTATCCCCAACCTATTCAGTTGCACACAGCTTGCAAGAGCCGGGGTGTTCAAAAGACAAACTGCCCTTTAAATATCAAGATCTTTTATCTGATCACAGATTGCTGCTTCCAGTCATAAACGTATAGACAAAGAGGCAGGCGAACATTGGTTTTGACCCTCCCCACACTGTTGTAACCTCCGTTCTCTCTAGCTGAAGTAAATTTCAGGGAATTTAAAGAGTAAACACCTTCTTTTCTAATCATTTTTTTCTCTTTTCCCCCTTTAGGAGCCATACATTAAAGACTAGGATAATCAAAAGTAATTGCACATATACAGGTAATTAGAAAGATATCACACATTCCCAGCGAAAGACACGGGCTCAGAAAAGACCTGAGAAAATCTTAAATTAACAGTTCAAGATGATTTTTAGCACAGAGACAGCCTACAACTATCAAAAGAAAACAAAAAACAAAAACAAAAAGCAGCAAACCCTAGGCAAGTAGGAGAATCTGATTCTAGAGTTACCACATTATTGGATACAAATGTCCAGTTTTAAACAAAAAATTACAAAACACACAAGGAAACTAGAAAGCACGGACCAATCAAAGGAAAAAAAATATAAATCAATGGAAAAGTTCCCCAACAAAGATCAGATGACACATTTTCTAGGGAAAGACTTTGGAAACTACTGTCTTAAAGATGTTCAGATAACTAGAGGAAGACATGGAGAAAGTGAAGAAAATGATGTATAACTACAATGTTTATATTAATTAAAAAATAGAAAACCTAAAAAGAAACCAAATCAAAATTCCATAGCTGAAAATACTATAGCTGAAAGCATGGCTCCTTGTCATGGAGCTAGGGAGACGGGGATGGGGAGTTACTACAGTGCTAAGAATTGAAATTGAGTAAACTAACCACAATTTACATCTCAAGCCTTCCCCTAGGAGTTGGAAGTTTTCAATAGAGTCCAGAGTTCCAAGTTGGTTACATCAGACAGATTCTGCTAGCGCAATTATTGTCTTAGTAGAGAGATTGCTTCCTGGTGCTTCCTATTGAACATCTTCACAGATCCTTCTATAGTCTACATGTGACACTTGAAACCAAAGAGGATGAAAAAATATTATTTTCCTAAACTTAACTGGGTTAAATATGGAAGCATTAATGACAAACATTGAAGATACAATATGTTATTCATATGTGTGTTTGTGTGTGTGTGCGTGTGCGCGCGCGTGTGTGTGTGTTGGGGTATTTTTTGTGTTTATTAGATAGTTTCAGTGAGACAATAATAGACAAAGTTATTAGATGGTTAAGGAAACATTCCTATAAATATTGGTCCCATAAGTTATGCTGAGTTAAAATTAAAACAGCAATCTAAATGTTGTAATAAATTATAACATCTGAGATTTTTAGGAATAAAAACATAAAAGCATATCTGATATATATTTAAACATGTTCAGATACTTATATCCTTTATTCAGCATTTCTGCTGGTAGATCTTTACTCTGATGAACCATTTAAAATATGTGAAATGTGTTGTGTAAGATAATTTATTTGAAGCACTTATAAAATTAGATATGTTATATATCTTATGATGTGTTCCATCTTATATGATTGATGGAACATATTAAATGTAATAATGAAAAATTGATTAAATAAAATATATTATGCTTATTGCAATTACTCAGTTGGTAGTGATTGAAATTTACCTTACATAAGAATATTTTAAAGCATAGAGAATGTTTATGTTATTGTTATAGCATATAAACTCTATGTGAGAGATTGAGACAACATGATCCATTAAACACAGATTTACTTGCTCAAATCCTATGAAATGAGAAACATATTTTTTTGTAAATGCTAAGTCAATAACAATCTTAGGTGACAGCATTACGTATACGTGTTGGCCTAAAAACTGGGAAAATCCCTGAAAAATAGAAAGCAAACAATAGAAGATCTATAAATAAATAACTGGAGAAAACCACACACCAATTCTCACACAGGAGAGTACCATTACAGAAGGCTATTATGAGACTGTACATAAAGAATAATGTTGAGTCAGTTGTAGACTCAGAATCAACTAAAGAGTTGAGAAAACAAACAGTGGGAATGAACCTTGGGGAAAAAGGATTATATATGTTTTAAAGTAGTTTCAGTGGAATGATTGTTATTCTACTTCATAGACACAGAGAGAATGCTATGTGTAATGAGCAAAAAACAGCAGTGGCTTTTGTTCATAGGCTATGCCATCAAGTATGGACTTCAGTGATTGACAGTGTCCCAGTAGTATAACAATGAGTTGTTGACTCCAGGGGCTAGAAAGCATAAGGAAGAACTTAATAAAAAAAATGTAGAAAACCTCTGAGTTTCAGTAAATCTTTGAAATATAACTCAATTCATTAAAATAAATAATAACATCAATATAATTCTGGCACATATAATAGTGAGAAGACACAAAAAATATACTGTGCCAAAAAGCACAAACATATAATTAAGTATATACAAGTAGAAATACAGAGAAAAATTAAAACTTAAAAATTAATGTATTATTTTATTTATGTAATTTTGCAATCATATTCAAAAGTTGTTTTATTAAGAAAATATAAATAACTTTGGTTAAAAATTAGAAATTCTGCAAAGAGAAAAATTAAGAGAATAAACTAATATTAAAGTGTAACTACCAAATTTTAAAAATAAATAATCCCATGTATTATTAAAGTCACAAATTGTATAAATAGAAATCGTTACAAAGTATTACTAAAACTAACAAAGAAAACTAGAAAAAAATAAATTTATGACCATATCTGTAATAATGGCATATTATTGAAGGAATTTATTATAAAGAACATATTATTGAAGGGATGTATAAAGGTTCTCAATCAGAAATTATATATTTTATAAATGAGTTAACAGATTAAACTAAAATAAAACCCTCACAGATAAACAAATAGATGCAAAAACAATTTGATACATGTTAATTTCCATTCTGATGAAAATAATACCTTATTAAAAATAGGATAAGAAGAAGCTTCTTCAACCTATAAATTCATATTTAAACAGAACTTATAATAATCATTATACATAATAAAAAATGAGAAGCATCACGAAATAAAGTCAACAATATTTTATTTGTATTCAAAGCTATAAAACATGACAAATAATTTAGTTACATATTTTAGAAATCAAGGAACAATATTTACATTCACAAATAATATTCAATTTTACTTAGAAACTCTCAGAGAATATATGATAACAAATATGAGGTATCAGAAATGTGGCCTAATTCAAAACCAATATATGAAAATCAAAAAAATTCACTAATAACCAGTATGAAAATATAATTACAACCATGTATCAATTAACAATGGGAGTACCTTCTGAGAAATGCATTTTTAGGCAATTTTATCACTGTATGAATATCAGAGTGTATTTACACAAACCTAGATGGTATATGGTATAGACTACCACATACCTAGGCTATATGGTATAACCTATTGCTCCTAAGCTACAAACCTGCACAGTATGTTACTGTACTGAATATTTTAGGCAATTATAATGCAATGATAAGTATTTGCATATCTAAACATATCTCAACATAAAAATGTTACAGTAAGAATACAATATTATAATTTTATGGGATCATCTTGGTATATGCTGTCCATCATTCACTGAAATGTTATTGTGTGGCACATGACTGTATAAAGAAAGATTTCTTTCAATATAGCAATATGTTTATAAACATTGAATAAAAATATAATAGAAAGTATAAAATCATAGAAAAAATTATTACTAAAGACCTTAGTGTATATTTACATAAGTGCAATGACATACCATGTTCTTGAATGAGCTTTTCAGACACTTGGGAATAAATGATATGGAAGAGGAAATGTGAAATAGTAACATATACTTTTTTGAAATATTAACAAGCATAAGATAATGGTTTGACTTATCAGATATTAAAGCAAAGAATAAAGGTCCATAATGAAAACAGAGTGGTTACAGCAAATAAAGATATATTAATAGAGATTCTATAAACTGATCTATTTTCTTGGAATTCTTTTTTTATAAATTATCACAAATAGCTAAGAAAAGAATGACTGCTATAATATTTAAATGACTAAATTTCCTTTAAAATTATAAAAATAGAGCATTTGCTTATGATTTTCAGAAAAAATACATTATGGATAAAAGAATGAAAATTTGTCATCAAAGGAAGTTTTTTTGATTTTATAATTTGAGATAGATCTTTTAATTTGATTACATTTCCAGAAAATAATTATATAAATATGTTACTAATGTGCAATGATGATGTAAATTTGCTAGAAAAAGTTGGCCGGGCGTGGTGGCTCACGCCTGTAATCCCAGCACTTTGGGAGGCCGAGGCGGGTGGATCACCTGAGGTCAGGAGTTCAAGACCAGCCTCAACATGGAGAAACCCCATCTCTACTAAAAATACAAAATTAGCCGGGCGTGGTGGTACATGCCTGTAATCCCAGCTACTGGGGAGGCTGAGGCAGGAGAATTGCTTGAACCTGGGAGGTGGAGGCTGCGGTGAGCCGAGATCACGCCACTGCACTCCAGCCTGGGAAACAAGAGCGAAACTCCATTTCAAAAAAAAAAAAAAAAAAAAAAAGAAAGAGTTGCTTTTTCTGAACAATATAATTGCATTGATTTGTATGTGTAAAAATATTTAATTTTATGCTATCATCTGATATTCTCTTTTAGTTTTAAGCTTTTCTATTATTTCCTAAGTTTTGTTATTAATTAACATATTTTCTTCTGCAAATCCTAGTATCTGTCAGACAGATTTACAGGAAAGTACATTTCAACTTATATGGTTCTTTATTGATTCTAAGAAACATATAGCTTTTATAATTACTGTTATTATTGTTATTGTTTTATGGCATTGTAACATCTCCAAAATTGACCTGAACCTTCAATAGATGGCATGCAAATAATTATTAGTAGCACAAAAAATAACAATGGATCTCATACTCTTTGGCATTAACAATTAAAAAGAAGTAGTATATTAGCATTCAAGTCCTAGTCCAAATGTTATTAATAGAACTTTTGAGAGAGTATTGATCGGGGGTACAGAAAAATCAAAAAGAGAAACCATTCTATAAAACTTAAACTTGATAATGTGGGGAGTAAAGATCAGAGATCATGAGGAATGACTTTAATTTTTAAAAGATTTGTATTAGAATATATATCTTTAAAGGTGTTTCTTTGTATTTGTTTGCTTTACTAAGGGAGAAAGTTTGTTAAAAAGTAGACTTTACACATTTCATGAAAACACAGAAAACTTCGAGGTATAATTTAGTAAGTTAAATTTCTACTGAGCGACTCTAAAGTGATTGATCAGTTTACCTTGATAACTTCTGGTGATATTCTGAAATAGAAAACAGAAAAAAAACAGTTCTTGTAATCAAGAGAAAAAGATTCACAGGCTTCGTAATTTCCTTTCTCATAATTTTATTGATATTTTCTTAATTTCATATTTATTTTTATCCCCAGAAGATAATGCTGCTTCTTCATGTTACACTTCCTTATTTTTAAGTGCTTGCATATATAGGCAAGATATGTGTCACTAGTTAGAAACTGAGTTATCCTAATTATACTTTTCTTATAATATCCACATTTACATAGACTTCAGTTTACTATTAACATTTTTATGCTTGAACATAAAATTTTTGTAGTCAAAATGTGCATATACCGATGACTCTGAACCAAACTACAGACAAGCAAATTTCTCATAAATTTGATTTCTGCCATTCTTCAAGATATCCTTTGACACTATCTTCCAGATGTTTGACATTGTCAAACAGCTCCCCTTTTAGAGGTATCCTATTTATTTGTAAGTTTATCCAAAAAAGATCTAGGTAACTACTGAATTTTTAAAAATCAACCAGGTTCTATAGACAATATCAGGGTTCGCTCTTGGTGTCATATATTCTATGTGTTTGAACAAATATATAATTACATCAATCTATCATTCTAGTGTCATATGGAATATGTTCACTTCTCTAAAAATGCTCTGTGCTTCACCTACTCATTCTTTCTTTCCCCTAATCTTTGTCAACCAGTAATATTTTTATTGTTTTCATTGTTTTGCTTCTTCTAGAATGTCATATTGTTGGAATCACACAGTAGGTAGCATTTTTAGATTGTTCTTTCACTCATTAATATGCATTTACGTTTCCTCCATGTCTTTTCATGGCTCAATAGCTCATTTCTTTTTAGCACTGAATAACATTCTATTGTTTGGATGTGCCACAGTTTATCCATTCACCTGCTGAAGGACATCTTGAGTGCTTTCATTTTGGCAATTATGTATAACATTGCTATGAACTGTCATGTGCATGTTTTGGGGTGGACATTGGCTTTTAAACTCCTATGAGTATCAAGGAGCACAATTGCAGGTGAGTATGGTAAGAGTATATTTGTTTTTGTAAGAAACACCAAACTGTTTCCTAAAGTGGTTGTACCATTTTACATTCGCACCATCAATTAATGAGCGATCCTGTCCATACACATAACAGAGAGAATTTGATGTTGCCACTGTTTGGGATTTTGGCCATTCTAATAGGTGTGTAGTGGTATCTCATTGTTTTAATTACCATTTTCCTGGTAACATATAAGTGGGGGCATATTTTCATACACTTATTTGCCATCTGTATATCTTCAATGATGAGACATTTGTTAAAGTCTTTGGCCTATTTTTTAATTGTGTTGTCTGCATTCTTATTGTTGAGTTTTAAGAGTTGTCTGTTTTAAAAAACAGTCTTCTATTGATACATGTTTTGCAAATATTTTTCCCAAGCTGTGGCCTGTCTTTGCATTCTCCTGACAGTGTCTTTTGCAGGGCATAAATTTTTAATTTTGACAAAGTTTTAGCATGCCCTATCACTCATTTTTTTCTTAGATTGTGCCTTTGGTGTTGTAACTAAAAAGTAATCACCAAATGTAAGGTCATCTATATTTTTCCTGTGTTATATTCTAGAATTTTTATTGTTCATTTAGGTCTGCAATTCATTTTCAATTATTTCTGAAGAACGTAAAGTCTATATCAAGATTAAATTTTGTGTATGGATATCTATTTGTTCCAGCACAATTTGTTGAAAAGACTATTTTTGCTTCATTGCATTGCCTTTGTTCCGTTATCATACACCAGTTGACTACTTTTATGTAGATCTACTTCTGAGTTATATTCTGTTCCATTAATCTGCTTATTCCTTGACCAATACTATGCTGTCTTCATTACTGTAGCTTTGTTACAGGACTTGAAGTCAGGAACTGTCAGTCCTCCAGCTTTATTCTTCTTTAATATTGTGATTGCTGTTCTGGATATTTTCCCATTCTATATAAACTTTAGAATCAGTTTGTTGATATCCACAAAATAAACTGCTGAAATTTTTATTGATATTATATTAAATCTATAAAATACATTGGAAAGAACTGATATCCTGACAATAATGGGTCTTCATATTGATGAACATGAAATATCTTTCCATTTATTTATTTCTTCTTTGATTTATTTCATCAGAGTTTCATAATTTTTCCAGTAGACATTTTGTACATATATTGTTAGATTTATACTTAAGTATTTCATATTTTGATTTCTAATACAAATGGTATTGTGTTTCTAATATCACATTTTATCTGTTAATATCTGGCATATAGGAAAGTGATTGAATTTTGTCTTGATCTTCTAGTCTGCAAATTTGCCATTATTGCTTATCAGTTCCAGGAGATTTTTTTTTTGTTAATTCTTTAAAATTTCCTGTATAGATAATCATGGCATCTTTAAACAATAACAGTTTTATTTGTTCCTTGCTGACATATGCACTTCTTATTTCCTTTTCTTGTCTTACTGTATTAACTGGGACTTCCAGTATAATATTAAAAAGCACCAGTGAGGGAAGACAACCTTGCCTTGTCTCTGGTCTTAGTTGGATTATCTTTAATCATACTGAGTTTGTGACCTTTATTTTATGTGTGGCCCCTCATCACTTTATCCCCATCCCCAAATATTTCTCTATTTTTTACATAAACAATATTAATTAAGATATATATGCAACAGTTCAAATATATTATTTTAATTTTTCCTCATCTATTACTTTTGTAAAGAAGTCAGCTTTCAGCTTTACTCTGTTTTAATGAATGTAATGTCTTTTTACTTTCTGCTTGTTGGTTAATGCATTACATTTTATAAAATGCCATATATACACTATATACAGCAGTCCCTAAACATTTTATTGTTTTCTTGTTCTTCAATTACACTCCCACACAAATAAACACTAATATGTGTTTCTGTTATTACTTCAAAAGTATAGTTTTAAAAGTCAGAATTTTAATATGTGTGTGTGTGCATGTGTATTAGGGAATTCTTTATCAGTTCACAAGGATTCTGCTCATTTTTTATGTCAACATAATACTTTGTTATATTTTATTAATCATTTCCTCCTCAGCTAGATATTTGGGTTATTTTCAAGCTTTGGCTATTATAAAAAATGCTGCATAAAACGAAACTTGTATACATGTCCCTTTTTTTCTCTTTTGTAACTAGTGTTGATGTCTCAGTATCTAGTATATTTTTTCTATTTGTTAACGCTAAGTTAAGGAACAAATTACTCAGTAATTTTGCTACAGTGTCAAATTGTCCTCCATAGGGATTTTGTAATTTTGCACATACTGGTAGTTCATACTTTTACTTCTGAATGGTTATATCACATTTTGTTTTCCATTCACCAGCTGACAGGCGTTTTGAAAGTTTCTATTTGTTGGCTATTATGAATAATTCTGCTGTGAACAAGTTTTGTGTGGACCTATGTTTTTACTCCTTTCAGATAAGTTACCTAGTGGAAATAATTATATGACAAGTGTATATTTTACTTTTCTTTGAAAAATCACTTTTCCATCAATAATATATGAGGATTCAGTTTCTGCACCTCTTTTCCAACATTTAGTATTTTATGCTTTTGGGTTATAGCAATTCTAGTATGTGATGGCATCTTCATATCTTGGTGGTTTATCTTCCTAATAGGGACTAGTTAGAGGTCACAATACATTCTACACACTAGTATTTTATTATCCCACTCTATAGTTTATTTTATTTTTTAAATTGACATCTTTTGAAGAACAAATTTTCAAAAATATGTTGATTGCATTAATTTTCTATAGCTACTGTTACAAATTATTACATACTTATTGGCTTAAAACAGCGTACATTTATTGTCTTACAGTTCTAAATGTCAAACATCTTAAAATCACAGTCTCAGCTGGGCCATGTTTCTTTTGGAAGGTACAGGAAAGTTGTGTGTGTGTGTGTGTGTGTGTGTGTGTGTGTGTGTGTGTGGTTTTTGGTATTGTTTGCCTTTTCCAGATTGTAAATGTCCAGATTATGCATTCCTTGATGTTGGTTACTTCCTTTACTTTCAAAGACAGAAGTTTAGAACTTAAATACCTTTCTCTTTGTTTGACCTCTGCTTCTGGTGCCGTATCTCTCTCTTTTTTTTTTTTTTCTTTTGCACTGACCCTTTTGTCATCTGCTTATAAAAATCATTTTTACATTGGCCCTACTGTAATAATTCAGGATAATCTGCTCATCTCTAAAATTCTTAACTTAATCCCAGCTTGCAAAGTCTGTTTTGCCATTTAGGTATAATATTTGCAAAATCAGTGAATTAGGAATTGGACACATTTAGCAGTGCACTTTCAGCCTAACAGGGTCATTTGCAATTTCAAGTAAGGGGCAGGGTTGTGTATGCATGTGTGTGTATATAAAATGTCCATGTGTTTGGTCCATCTGATCATGTTTTTCTTCTTTATTTTAAGAGTTTTTTATATACTATGGTTAATTATTATTTTTTGTGACACAAGTGATAATTACTCTTCAATGTCTGACACTGAAAATAGGTGTTTTATTCTGTTTAATGCTGTTTTAATGTAGTAGAATTTGGCTTTTACTTTTTTGCTGCTTTTAAATTTGAGTGTATAGTTGGAAAAGCAAACATTTTATTTTCAATTATTATGTATCGCTTTTCTTTAGACATGTTTGTATATGGTTTATAGATTTACTTTTGTTCAGAAAAATGCAAGTCTTCATCTTATAATAGGTCAATTTAATGCATTAAGAATTATATTTACATTATTTCTACAATGTTATTTTGTGTTCTACTTTCTAATTTTATACTTAAAAACATTCAACAATTTGATGTTTTCTGTTTTTCTTCATTTGTGCTTATTTATTTTGTTATTTAGGAAGGTTTGCATTTTTGTTCTAGTAATTATTTTTTCTTACTATAACCAATTATAGCATTAGTAAATCTCTTTTCCTACTCCACTTTGTACTCTATCATTTAATTTTATTAAATTTTATTGTGATTTTTAGTCATGAATATATTTCTTCTTAATCTTAAAAGTATCCACACATACATTTTTTATCTTAAATGATATCCTTGTACTTCAGCTATAAATGAAAATAAATTTAACATATTTACTTCATTTCCCATTTAAACTTCATTTGCCACTTACTTCTCAATTTATGTTAATCATTTCATTTCTATATATTCAGAGACTGTAACACATATATTCTGTTAAAGCTACTTGGTATATTGAGTAAGGTTTATTAGAGCAATACAGTATTTTCTTAGTTCCAGTGTGTTAATAATTTTATTTGCCTCCATTTTTAAGGGACATTTAAACTGTATAAAATTCTCAGATCATGCTTCCTTTCCTAGGAATTTTGTTGGTATTGCTTCAGTGTCATCTCGTACTAAATATTGCTATGAAAAATTTGAGGCCACGGTGTGTTTTCCTCTTATAAAATATTTTCTCTTTGGCCTGGCTTCCCAAAGAATTATTTATATGTATTAGAGTTCATTAACTTTACTATATTATAGCCACAGTTCACAATTTTGGGCTAGTTTTCTCTTGGGCTCTACATCTTTTCAATATGCACCAGAAGGCTTTATTTTAAATATTTTATCTTTACCTTTTTTTTTTTTTTGAGGACTTCAATGCTTTGAACCTTCTTTAATTTTTAACTCTATTTTCTCGGCTGACTTTTATCTCTTTATTTGTCTTTCACTGTACTTGATTGCCTTGTTTCTAACCTTTATAAAGTTCATTATTACTATTTGAACAGTGGCTGATGTACCTTGCTCTTCCAGTTTTACCTCCAGTACTGCAATATTTTCTTTGCTATCCTTAGCTCTTCCTACTTACATTTCTTCATGTCTTGCTGCCCTGCAGTCAATTCCCTGAGGTTTTGTATCTTGCTTTTGTGCCACCACGGCTTCATAAAGATGATTATTCAATTAAGTCTTTTTTTATTGTATTTATTTTTGTTTTCAATGTTTTGGGCCAGAATTTTCTTTGCTTCTTGGCAACAATTTTATACATTATCCTTCTGTCATGGAGATTTATTGATTCTCTTTTTAAAATTATTATGGAATATTTTATAGATTTATACTTCTGAGAATCTCACTTTACACAGAGAATCTTCTGCCTACTCCAATCCATACTATAGTCTGTATTTACTGTTCCCATTGTTGCAATCTGCACACACACACATATACACACACAGTAGGTTTAGTGACTCACGTCGTATCTGCCACTGTTGACAAATATAATTAATAGTTTTACTGGCTATTTCTGAACTTTGAAGCAAAGTATCTTCTGTCCCTTGATAGTTCTCTGTTTCTTCCCAAAGGAACACTGCTCAGTGATTTGTACTGTGTTTCGTGAGATTCCAACCTAAATCATAGTGTTAGGCTTTAGCTGTTTCCTTGTTTCACTGAAAATGAACTTAAGACTTTTATTTCTTATCTTTTCTGTCTCTTTAAAATTATTTCCAAGAAAATCAGTCTGAAATTTTCATTTTCTGCTATAATCGCCAAACTGAATGGCTACACATTGATTTTAGATTTTCTTCTTATAAAGTCACTTTCCATTTGAAAATCATGTTTTCATCATGTGTAAATTAAACTACAAATCCAATAGAAAATGATAACTTTGGAAAACACTGTTTTAATTTAATGAAAATGTACAACATTTGTTTTTCTTTACATTTAAAGAATAATGAAACTGAAAGTTAGATTAGAAAATGAATTTTTTATTACCTGATTGAATGAATGAAATAGTGAAAATAACCATTAATATTTAAAACAAAGCAAAATAAAACAAAAAAACTATATTATAGGCTGTTAATCTTTCTATTTTATGCTACTTAAGAACAGATACTGTACAGAGCCAAGTCAAAATTATTTATCAGAAAAAGTAATGTTAAGCATGTGAAGTTAGTTTGATGCAACGGGAACAGCACAAAGGGGTATGTCTATATTAAGAAGTGGTCAGCTAGATTCAAACTAGAAAGTTGCTGTCCAGCTATAATGGAGGATCTCAAATGAGACTAGATCTAAATCATAGAAACAACAATAGCATGCTGGAAAAGGAAAATCACGTACTCCACGTTAGTGGTTAAATATGAAATAGTATTTCTTGAGAAAAAGGCAGGTTTTGGTACAAACCCAAGCAAGATACTACTGAATAGTTTATTTCAATTAAAATTAGATGAAACAAAAGAAAATGTAATGGTCATCATATGTTTAGGTAAATAACTTTCGTTAAAGTAATTATATGTATAGAAGTTATTCTTAACTCTTTCATATTTTGTTACCCTTTATGACTATTTCTTACCTAAAACTTAAAATAACAACAAAAATGTGACAAATGGAATATGCTTATTTAAAATATTTAGTCTTTATAGTGATCTTATTAACAATAGCAAATACTTGTGACATGTCTTATAATTTGTCACAACACATATATATTTTTATATGCAGTGGAAAAATGTTACAAATATTCTTCACATTCTGAGCGCCAGCATGTTAATTTTAATAAAGAGCCTTCGGTTCAGATTGTTATCTCAATCACTATCTGCAATAATTATTGTTACAGACATTAGTTAAACATTTAAGAATTTCTACTGGGTAGTGTATGTATAGCACTTAACCTACATAAAATTTACTTACATATGAATACATATTGTAGGTACCATTTAATGCATACACTTATATGCAAACAAACACACACACAATGATTGGCCTAAAGTCTGCTAATACTATAAGGTCTCATTTGCTTTTCACTCTGTAGCTGGTGAAAACCCTAAAACCATATAACTAAAATAATATTTTCTATTTTGATATTATCTATTTTATTTTAAAAGTCCTTCCCTATATGTTTTGTTTATTTTCCATATCTTATAGCAGGAATTTTATTAGTTTAGTGGGATGGCTCTGACTAATCTTAAATCAGCAGTATTGATCAACTTACCAGCCACTACTTATTTACATATGATGAGGAAATAGTGGAGGAAAAGTTTAATGCATATGTTTCTAGGCTGAAAGACAATCATGAAAAGGATATGCAAAGATTATCCTAACATCTTGTCTTTGGTACATGGTCCTATGAGTTTTCAGCTCTATGGAGAAATTAACATATTTGAGTTGAACGTAGGGTAGCCCTTGGTTTGTGAGTATTGAAAGCAATGAAGCACTATTTATAACTCTTTAAATCTTTTGCAGCTTATTCCTTAGAGGAGGCACTCTAGGCAGCATTGCCCTTTACAAAGAAGTAATGACAAAGTAGCAGTGGGGACTTTGGGGTTCAGGATATGGAATAGATGCCTGTCAGATGATTGGCAGTAAAACAACAGTGGCCATCTGTTTCTGATTTAAGATGTATATACTAATATGAAATCTTTACCACCTACAGATTCTTAATTACTGGACATTTGAGTTATATGATTATTTTTTAATGCATTCCACATTTTGAATTGCTTTAAATTCACATTAAATAATTTTTGTTGCCAATTCTTCATAAACAAGGTTTTTAAGTTTGTTTATTTTATTCTATTGCACTGATCAAAATATTTGCTACAAATTACACATTTGTAGAAAAGACATTTCTTAGTTAGAACAAGGCTACATATGTGCTTTATTACTCTCTAATGTGAGCATTGTAAAAAAGCAGTAGTATGTTCTTTGGTAGAGAAGCGTTAGATGCTAAATTCTCCCTTTTCTCTTTCTGGCATATGTATTAAAGTTATATATCTAGCTTCCCTTGCTGGGCTATCTATATGTTGATCTATCTCTTCCTATATATCTATATTAATCTCTGTCTACATTATCTATCTATCTATCTATCTATCTATCTATCTATATCTGTACAGGTATCTGTATCTATATATAATTATCCATATGTCATATAATTAAATCTAGCCAATATAAGGTACAGAAGTGATTTATATCAATTTCAAGACTAACCTCTATCATGTGTTACCAAGCTCTCATTTCTTCAGTTGAAAGAAATAATTTCGGATACCAGAGCTACAAGATAAAAGGAGAGGAGTCAAGATAACTAAGACTGAGCTTGGAATCAAAATCCTTAGGGGAGACATCTGGCTATATTTTTTTATGTTATATGGATGAGAAATAAACTTTTATTACATCAGTGAAATTATGGGTTTTGGGTACATTAACTAACATTATTTCCCCTAACTGACATATGTTCCTTTGTGTGTTTTCATTCTGTAGCAATAGAAAAGGTCACTTTTTTTTTTATTTGTGCATAGGAGTCTTTTTGTTTTAGACGGTATCTAGAGTGATCAAAATAGGAACTTTAAAAAACGTTGTTAAGTTTTATACAGTAAAATGTGCAATTCTTAATTATACAAGTAGACATGTTTTGGCAAGCAAACACATCTGTGTAGCCACTACTGAAATCAATATCTAAAACAATTCTATCTCTTGAGAAAGTTCTCATGCCTCCTTGTAGTCAATTCCCACTCTTACGGTAACCTCCACCCACCCACCACCACAGTCAACCTCTCTTCATATAGCATTGTGTTACCATAGATTAGTTTTGACTGTTTTTAAATTTTGTGTAAATGAAATTTGGCAATCCATACTTTTCTATGCCTTGTTTCTTTCAATCAACAAAATACTACTGCATATTATGTTTTTGTATGTATCAGTAGTCTTCCTCATTTTATTATTGAATAGTAGTCAATTGTGTAAATACACCGCAATTTATCTATACACCTACTTTTGAATGTTGCTTTTTTCCCAAGTTTTTTCATATTATGTATAACTACCATGAATATTCATTACAAGTCTTTGTGTGGACTTAATTTTTTAGGAGTAAAATCGGTGAATAATATAGTAGGTGAATGTTTAATTTTTCAGGGAATTGCAAAATTATTTTTATAGTTGTTATACCATTTTATATCTCCAAGAGCAATGTTTCATACTTCCGTTTGCTCTCTATTTTTGAAAACCATTGATGTTGTTAGTATTTATATTTATTTTTGCCATTCTATGAGTATCTTTCTCAATATGGCTTTAATTTGGATTTTGAGAGTCTATAGTCTTTGCTGTTTTATGTGCTTATTGGTCCTTTTTATATTTTTCTTTGTGAAATATATTTGTGAAATATTTACTGTTAATTAACCTATATCTAAGCTTTTAACTTAATATCTTTATACATATGTTTGTATTTATAGGCATAATGCAGTGCTAGATTTTCTTAATTATAAATCATGTAAGAGTACAAATTGTAAGCATTTGTAGCCAAAATATTAGGAGTATTTTGTGGTCTACTGTAATAAAATACTGTTCTGAAAGTCACTACTGTTATTTTCCAACTTAAAAAAATGGCAATTGTGCTATTTCTGAGACCAAAAAATTTTTGAGTTCAGATGGCTCTATGCTGACCAACAGATGGATCAGGAAATAGCAGATGGTTTTATGAGCAGTTCTGTCATCTCAGCATCTGAAATGCTTTACATGCCAAGGCTATAGAAGTTTGGACTCTGCTCTTGTGCAATAAGCCTGCTGGTAACCTGGTATTCTGACTGGATTTTTTTTTGTTTTTACCAAATTTAAATTCTCCAGCTTTGTCTGAACATTTTGGCCGTGAATGTACATTTTCCCTCCGTATTCACTTATTTCCAGAATGTTTTATTGTATGATGAAAAAGTTTTCTTAATGAGATGGTATCCTAGTACATAACGCAAATTTAATCCTCGTGCACTGTTTTATAGACTGCTTTTAATCACTCTAGTTTGTATATCTGTGCCAATTTTTAGACAAAGAATGATATTTTTTTATTATTAATTTAATTTAAATTAAACCCAAGTAGCTTTCTTGTAATTTAAAGGAAAACACATGCTCATTGTAAATATACACACACACAAAATTAAAGATATAAAGAAGTCTGAGTTATACACCAACTAAGAAAAAAACACAGAATCAAATATTGTCATGCAAACTTCAAAACTTCATATATATATAATATATATATGCATGCATGCATACATGCAAATGTATAGGCATATGTTTAGAATGATAGAAAACTTTATAATACTTTTTGACTAATTTCATTTACTTAACAGTTTAAAAGGGACATATTTTTATGTCAATAAATTAAATAAATATCTTTTTTAACTACTGCACATTATTACAACATATACATGTAAGATAGATATAAGTAATTCACTTATTATTTTAGCACATTCATACTTCTATTAGTTTTTCTCATTGACAATGATAAATATCTTTGGTCATATGCCTGTGTATACTTCATTTATAAAGTGCTTACTGTATGCCTAACCTTGCTTTGACTGCTTTACATGCATTAACATATGGATTAACCCCAACAAGCCTGTAAAATAAGTACTATCATTTTTTTGATTACCTATAAGAAAACTGAATCTTACAGAGGTAAAAATATAATTCAGTTAATCAGAATATATACTTTCAGAAGTGCAGAAATGAAATGATTGGGGCTAAAAAGTTTGGCCAAGGTATATCATGCTGGCAAATTGGTAGCTGAGTATTTTCTCTTCAAAGAGTTTTCTAATTTTTAAATTAGTCTGTTATGAACTACCATTATATCTGAAGGGTTTTTTTGTTTAAAATAGTTGTCTTTCTGGTAAATGTTGTGGTAAATTTTGTTCACACTGATGTAGTGCTTGCTTACAGAGGTGGTCTCATGACCTTTGCTAATTTCCAGAGAGGTTCTCTGCTTCCAGATTAGGGGAAACTCATCTTCACTGGAGAGAATTTGGGTTCTAGAAAACTTCAATGACTATAGTTATTTTCAAGTAAATGGATCTCTTCTCTATGTCTCTTATTTCCTCACTAAGCAATATTTTAGTTAAGAGGTAGAAAAAACTTATATTACAACTATATTTTATCATTTCTTGCTCCATCCCTAATGCATCAGTATGCTATTTGATTGTATTAGCTAACATGACTAGATGGCAGGTGCCAAAATCTTTCTTATATCGTCACATTTGCCCGCCTTTGTTCTTTTAAGTGTGGTTCTCAAGATTGCCCTCCATTCGTTTTCTCATCACAACCAGAATAAAAAATTGGTTTTCATCTCTGTGGATGACAAAAGGGATCCCCCCAAAAAGTTTTTAATAATCTCTACCTAGCAGTATACTTCCATGTATTCTTTAAATATTCTTTAAATTTGTCATATTTTCTGTTAATGCTTCTACTCTTGATTCTATCTGTTTTGTTCCTCACTGGGAATTTCTGTACAGGCATTAACTATTTTTTATGCCACCATCTTTCCAGTTTGATTTCTGGATGTCAAGTGCTAAAACAACATTAATGCAGTGGCTTATGATCTGAAGTCTGTAGATAGTTCAGCTTGGTCCTAAGAAAGAAAAAGCAACTGAATACTACATTCTGTCTAAAAACTGAGAGAAGTTCCTAGACAGCCTAGTGAACAGTGACAATAAGTATATTTGACAAAATTATGCCTGAAGAAAAACTTCTTTGAGTAAGTTACATTGTAAATGAACTTATTTATTCTGCTATATTATATCTTCAACAAATGTATAAATGATACAAAATAAGAACTGTAAGCTAGCAAAGTTACCATCCATATACTTAAAATTTTATAAACATATTGTTAAATATAATGTAAATTGAATGAGTTTGAAATAAAACTTTAAGGGCTTCATCGTAATTCCCTCTTCAGAAAGTTGATATTATCAATGGGTATGTAGTTATGCATAATATGGCTTGGATATGTGTCCCCACCAAATCTCTCATTGAATAGCAATCCCTAATGTTGTAAATTGGGCCTGGTGAGAGGTGATTGGATCTTGGGGGCGGTTTCGCATGAATAGTTTGGCTTCATCCCCTTGGTGCTGTTCTTGTGATAGTGAGATCCCACAAGTTAGTAGCACCTCCCACCTTCCTCTCTCTTGCTTCTGCTCCTGCCATGTGACATGCTTGCTCTTGCTTTGGCTTCTGCCATGTGTAAAAGCTCCTTGAGGCCTTCCCAGAAGCAAAAGCTGCCCTACAGCCTGCAAAACCATGAGACAATTAAACCTCTTTTCCTTATAAATTAACTAGTCTCAAGTATTTCTTTATAGTAATGTGAGAACAGGCTAATACAGATCAGAATCACCAACTGATACATGATTTTTCCAGAAGAAAATACCAAACCCCATAGAATTCACGGGCTATGTTGCCCAAATACAGGATGCCATTTTCATTAGGTTTAAGTGAATAGTGTCCCCTTGAGCACCAATAACGTGAGGAAAGTTAGTTCACATGAAAGGACAGTTAGAACAGGTGACAAGGAAGTTGACTGGGAAGAAAATATTGGATTCCAGAATAAATTAACGAGCTTGATATGCAAGTGGGATCACAACTATCTCTACATGTAAAAGCAAAGAACGTTTCATGAAATTACTGTCACCTGAAATTGCAATTGTTTATAAGGTTGATAGTAATTATTAGAAAAAGTTTATGATTATTTATCTATAGGAAACATAGGGTACCATTACTACTGTTATATATCTATTAAATGTTACTAGTGATAAAAAGTACAAGGTGAACTGGAACAACAAATCATGATTCTCTACACAGTTGGTAGAGCCAGAATAGGGTATTTTTCCATCACTTATTGGTGAAACAAAACTATGAACCAGAATTCCAACTTACAAAAGAATACATTGCTCTGGAAAAATTTGAGTATCTTAGAAATGAATAGCAGCCAGCTTATATCAGAGCAAAGAAAAAGGGAAGATATCTTGGGTCTGAAGTGGTAAATATATGTTTGAATCTCAATCAGTGGCTTTCTACCAATGTGAAATGGTTACATTATTTACCTTTTTCTTTCTATTATTTAAGTATAAGAATCATCTCCCAAAATCATTGTTATATACGTTTAAAATAGTGTATGTTGCAGTGCCTTGAGCACTGTCATTCTTCAATAAACACTACAAATGAAATATACCACAAATTAAAACTATATACCAAGAAACCTCAGTGGCTGCCTCAGGAGGATCATTGACTCCCACAATGATCATAATCACAACTACAGTAAACACAGTCAGCTCAACCAGAAAGGTTAGACTCTCATTTTGGAAGTAGTACAATACAACTGGGAGATTCCATGACTATCTCGACTACCTTCATTCTTTATCAATCAAAGGGATTTTCTGCAGCATGCCTATGTTACCACATTGATTTTGTGGAAATTCAACCTTGATAAATATCTTTGATTTGCAATGGCTTGCACAAGAACATAAATTACCTTAATCTGATGAAACTGACTACTGTCAATGCACAAAACAATCATTGGATATTTATAGATAAATTAGATGCATGTAAAAGAAGGAATATCGGAAGATAATATACTCATTGCCTAAACATTAAAAGGTATTTATCATATATTTTAAGTACCACTAATTGTTATGGTGATAAAAGAAATTTAACTATTTCTTTTAAGTCTTTGCTTATTCTCTGAAATATATTTCAGCCTGGGAACTCTGAAAATTCATTATAAGACATAGGCTTAGATGGAAGTTGTTTACTTGGGAAATTATTTTAGGAAGCAGTAGTGAGTAACAGAAGATATCAAACAAGAACAGATGGAAAATTAGTTTAAGAAGCCTTTGTGGTGACTGCCAACTGATCCAGGACCAGTACATCATTCTTTGAATGATAGTACCCACTGACTTCCATTCATTATTGGTTATGGGGTCTCAGAGGTAGCCGTGAACTTCTAAAATGTCCATATTTTAATCTTGAATGGATTCTCCCAGCATCTCATTTCTCTATCTCGAGGAAGCACAAGAGAAGGAAGCAAGAGCTATGTGGCTGTGGGCCAAATGCAAAGAACTGTTAGGTTGTTCTGAAGCTGGTAGAAGCTGCAAGACTGGCAGAAGCAGGTAGTGTGAATGAAAGTACTTGAAAAGGATTACAAGAGCTGTCCAATGCAATCAATTAGATTCTCATGTGTACTTAAGGCAGGTTTACCAAATCAAGGATATTAACCATACTAAAGATTGTATTATTTAGGCTAGTTAAGAAAAACTATTTAAAAACCAATGTTAAAACGTTGTATTATTGGATTTGCATGGAAAATTATTATCTAAATGTCCACTTATATTCTTTTTGAAGTATTTTAATCCTTCATAGTTTTCTTCCCATGGGGCAATTTTTAGCATCTCTTATCATTCACTTTCCATCATAGCTTTCTAGTTGAAATTCTCTAAATGTTCTATTTGGGGTACAGCACATTCATTTGAACACTTTTAACTACAATGAGACAGCTCCCTTTGTAACTCTGTCCTAGATTTGACTTAGAATCTAATTCAATATTCTAATTAAAATTAAATGTTTCAGTTTTGCTTAATATACCACACAGGGGTTGCCAAGGAAATATCTACCCTTTTAGCCAATTTATAGCTTACATCTGAGTATTTTTCAGTCTCACCAGCAGTGCAAGTTTATAGTGGATGATCTTTCATCCTGAAAAATGAATCCAGCTGTGTTGCCACTAAGAATTGGTGGTGTGCAGTCTGTTAAATAGCATGCAATTCAACTAAATCCTGATTACAATGTGCAAAATAAAGAGATTACTATAACTATGTTAAGCGTGGTTAATTTACTGGATGCATTTATTAGAAACACATTTTGTTCATTTTTAAAACGAAGTTTTCTCTATTGTGAGATTGTTTGTCAAGATCAAAATTTGTTTAAAGAAAACCATAACAGGCCATTTTAGTAGAGGTATCTCTCATATTGAAAAATTAAGTAGGTTTTGGAGAAGCGTAGCCTATGACTATTGAGCTCATTTAAAAATTAAGTCAAAAAATTTAAAAATAGATGTATGACTTTGGATTAAAAAATAACAGGTGAGTGACATTACATTTGGTTTAGATAAAATACATACATAGCTCTATACAGTAGTATAGAATAAATGTTCTATTTTAGTTTTTCATATCTTGCATAAATTCTTGGATGCTGAGGCAGCCTCCACTGCTAAACATACCACCACATAATACTAAATAAGTTACTGCTAATGTCCAATCATGTCCACACTGAGAGTAACATGTGTCATGTCAACGTGCATGATGGATAGGAACTAACAGAAGCAGCTTCATTTCTCACACTCTAGGCCAGCTGCACTTACATCTTATAATATCTATGTATCATACAGAATTGAGTGCCATCAACAAAATGTTGGCAGCAGGATGAAAGTGGAAGAGCTGGGCTACTTGCTCATATAATATATTTAAGTTATTTTTATGGGAATGAAATCTATATTGTCCATTTTTAGTTTAAAGAAATAAATGAACTTTGTTATATGACATTTGATTAATTGAAACTCTACAAACGAAATCTTCATATCCCTATTACAAGAAGAATTACATTACCTAATACCTGTAATGAAGTCTTGAAGTAATATGAAATAGAGAAATCTGAAATGTGAAAACTGTCAGGTTTAAATTTAATAATAATTTATCAAATATCAATTATGAATCAATTTAATTTACTCATGTAAGTAATGCCCTACAGGGGCACTATTATTTTCATTTTGTTAATTTGGAGTATAAATAGCAACTTACCCAAATTTGTGTAGTGTCAGAGAAAGTTTTTGAAATCAAATCCTCTTGGTTTCATAAATGTCCTATTATAAAAATGACTCCGAGGAAATTATAATAGCAAACTATATTTTGGGACACAGAATAAATTGGATTAAGAAACTGAAAAGGAGAATAAGAAAATGGGAGTATAATACAATAGGAGTAAACATCTTGGAGAGAGAAGAGATGCGTATCTCTCCTTTTTGGGAGAGATATGGAAAAGAAGACAGAATAAGAACAAGAGTATGCGAAATGCTTTCTGCTGTATACAGCAGTCCCCTTTATTCAAAAGGGATATGTTTTAAGACCCTTAATGAATGCTTGAAACTGCAGTTAGTGCCAAACACTATATATACTATGTTTTTCCCCCCTATGGCTTAATTTATCATTTAGGCACAGTTAGAGATTAACAAGGATAACTAATAATAAAATGGAACAACTATAACAATACACAGAATGACACACAATTTTAAATTTATGAATAGTTTATTTGACAGGTAACTGAAACTAAGAAAGGCAAAACTACGGATAAAGGAGAACTACCCTGTGTGTGTGCATGTGTGTGTGTATTACTATTACATATATATCATTTTATCTATATGTGTATATCTCATTATATCTCTCTACATATAATGAAAACTAAAATTATACTTCTAATTATTTTTTACATTTTTAAGTACACAAGCAAGTGTAACACAATAATTAGTGACAAACAGTTCTTGTGTGCTGAAGATTTTTGGTTAGGAGTGGATGTAGCAAAAGGATAGTAAGATAGAACACAAGGAAGCATGAAAAATTGCATCTGTTAGTCCAGTGATATGGAGGCCCAAATGGAAAAGATGTTATGGGAGAATATGCCAAAAATAAAACAAAGCAAACAAGCAAAACTACAAAAATTAATTTGACTTCAGGAGAAAGGACGAGGTTTAAGTGAAATTGTAAGAACAACTTACATACGGAATTGAAGTTGCATTTAGTACACATAAAACAACGGAGTAAGACTTTTTTCTGGCTTTGAAAAAATGAATAACTTTTGTAGAAATGTTGCCTTGGGTATTTTTAAATAGGAATAATTTATAAAAATTAGGCTAAAGATATTTCAAATGACGGAATGGCATGTAAACTCTGTGCTGCAAGAAAGTAGCCTGCTTTTTTTGAGTGAGATGGTGGCAGAAAATAATTCAAAGACAAGTACTTCTTGAAACTGTAGAGAGGCAAGAGAGGGACCTGATGTCCTAAGCCCAATTTTTCCATTTATTACCGGAAAATAACAACTCGTTAACCAATTCTATTAAATATTTGCATTTTAGATATGCAAATTTGAAGAAAAAAGAAAACAAAAAGAACCTCCTAGCTATCATTGAAGATCCCCTGAGCTTTTCCTCCGAACTGATAGGATTCTGTAAAATATCATTAGAGAATAAATAGCAATCTGGAGCTAACATAAAAGCTTCTGCTGCTCATGAGAAAATTATAAGATAATATTCATTTGGTTGTAATCGTCTACTAAAATGATGCCCCAGGGATAATAGAAAAATAATACATTCCAAATTGTTTACCTATTTTTACTGAAATGATTCCTTTATGCGTCATCCAACACAGTCTAACCCCCTGAAAGAGACCTTTATCATCAGTTTGCACCAATTCCTTATGAATTCTGCTGGAAATAGAGTTTGTGAAAATGGATAACACTATTAGGCAAGTTAGACTTGATAATGATTTCTGGTAAATATTACAATTTGAAATATTTTTTTCTAGTCAGTCCTAGTTTGGGGTTTTTGTTGTTTTTGCACGTGTACAAATTGAAATTTTTCTTTGAAACATTTGAAACAAATAAAAGGCCAGTGATGTTTTTGTTGTTGTGGTGGTGGTGGTGGTGGCGGTGGTTCATTTGTTTTGGAAGAATATATTTGTTTTTAAGTGGAATGTATTTGATATTCTGAGTTGCTTCTGATTTTTGTGTCTAAAATACCCTAAACCTTTTATTTAGACATGATGAGAGCCTCATGCAGAGGGATCAGGGGCTTGCTTATTGAGCTTATCTTTATATTATAGATAATGCTCTCAAAGAAAACAGTCAATAATGTCTGTACCACTAAGTCTAATGGGTAGACCTCACTCTCTAACCTACTGGACTGCAAAGCAGCATTTAGTATAGCTGGCTACTCATCTTTAAACACATTCTTCCCTAGTCTAGAAGAATAACAGGCTCCTCATGGCATCCTCTTACCTTTCTTGGTGTTCCTTACATATCTTTCTTGCCAACTCTTGTTTGGCAAGTCAATCATCAAGTAATAGAAGATCTCAAATTTGTTTTCTGGCCATACATTTCTTATCCACCTATACCATTTATCTAGGTTATTGCTTTTATTCTTAGGGTATTGATTAAAAATCATATGTGTTTACATACATATTTTTCAGTCTTGTCCTGTCATCTTAGTTTTAGATTTGTATAACTAGTTACATACTCAAAATCTCAATTTAGATGAACCAGTGGACCTCAACATGCTACGTTCAAAACTGTTGTCAAATCATTAACACAGTGTCTCTTGTTCAACTTATCCATTTCAATATTCCCTATTTCAGCAAATTCAATCAGCATGCACTTATTTGCTTGGGTCAGAAAACTTACAAATATTAACAACTCCCTTCACCTCTCTCTCAACCCTTATATAATTGCATTACTTCCCCTTAATATCACTTATATTTGTCCATCATTTTCTGTCTATATTGCCAAAATATAATTTTTAAAAAGCATTCATTGTTTGTTATATTACACCACCTTAGACACTTAATTGATAAATACATGTCTACTATATTTCCCATTCACATCTCCATATAGGAGTTTAGTGATATTTTAAAAAATTCAATCAAGTAATGATTTTAGTTTTAGATGATTATTAAATCAGTAGGTCCTCACTGACTGAAGTAAAACATTTAAAATCGCCAGTAAACATGTAAGGACTTATACTGTTTATCTTACATCTTCTCCATGGCTTTATTGCCAACCTTTCTGGCCATCATCAATATTTCAGACATAACTCTACTCAGAGACTTAATACATACTATACTTTCTACCTGGAGGACTTTTTAACTCATATATATTTTTTAAACCATTGACTGACATTTTCTTTAAAATGTGTCTGCTAAAACTCAATACGTCATCTAAAAAAGTAAAACTTCTTGCCCTTAATACCCAGAAATTTTACATTTGCTACACATGTGTACCTGCAGAATATTTAAGCAGCATATTTTTTAAAGCAACACAACTGTAAATCTATTAAATGGCAATTATCAATACCAAAATTTTAAATTAAAATATTTTAGTTTCCTTGTCAAATAATAGTTGATTATATATACATGGGTTTATTTCTGGGTCCACTCTTCTGTTCCATTGGTCTATGTGTCTACCTTTCATGGCAGTAACATACTTTTTAAATTACTACAGTTTTGTAATATAATGTGAAACCAGGAAGTGTGATGTCTCCATCTTTTTTCTTTTTTTTCTTAAAATTATTTTGACTATTTGCTATGATTCCATATGAATTTTAGTTTCCTTCTATTTGTGTGGAAAAACATCATTGGAATTTAGATAGGAATTGTATTGAATCAGCAGATCACTTTGGGTAGTATAGACATTGTAACCATGTTAATTCTTCCAGTTCATGAACACGAGCTATCTTTCCATTTATTTGTGTATCCTTTAATTTACCTCATCAATGCCTTATAGTTTTCAGTACAAATATCCTTTGCCTCCTTGGTTAAATTTATTTCTAAGTATTACATTTTTGATGCCATTGTGATGACATTGTTTTCTTAATTTATTTTTTTATAGTTCTTTGTTAATGTATGGGAACACAACAAATTTTTGTATGTGAATTTTGTATGTAAATTTTGTATTCTGCAACTTTACAAAACTTAATTTTGTGGAGTGTTAGGATTTTCTTTATATGAGACCAACTGGGAAAGAAAAGTCTTTCAAATGATTACTGTTAGGAGAACTGGATATCCACATGGAAAAGAATGAAATTGAGTCCTTGTCCTATATCATATACAAAAATTAAAATAGATTAAAGACTTAAATGTGAAGTCTGGAATTATAAAACTTCAAGAAGAAAACATAAAAGCAAACTACTTGATATTTGTCTTTACAATGAATTTTTGGATATAATACCAAAAGCACAGAAAATAAAAGCAAAATTAAAGAGTGGGACTACATTAAACTACCAAACTTCTGCACAGCAAACAAAGGAAAATGAAAAATATCTTATAGAATGGGAGAGAATATTAGAAAATCATGTATCTGAGAAAGAGTTAATACTCAAAATACAAAACAAACTCATACAACACAACTGCAAAACAAACAGCTTGATTAAAACATTGGCAAAATACTGGAATGAACATATCTCTGAAGAAAACATACAAGTGACTAACATATAGGAAAAGGTGCTCAACATCACTAATCATCAGAGAAAGGCATATCAAAACTATAATGAGATATCATCTCTTACCTATTATTAGACAGACAAGAGATACATGTTGGTAAGGTTATAGAAAAAAAGAAAATCTTTGCACGACGTGAGTAGAAATATAAATTGGTACAACCATTAAGGAAAAGAGTTTGGAGGTTCCTCAAAAAATTAAAAATAGAATTATAATAACAGCCAGCAATCATACTTCTTGACATATATCCAAAGGAAATAAAATAAGCCTATCAAAGAGATATCTGCACTCTCATAGTCACTGAAGCATTATTCACCATAGCCAAGATATGGAAATAACTTGAAAGTCCATTGATGGATGAGTGAATAAAGAAACGTGGTATCTATACACAATGGAATACTGAGTATATTCAGCCATAAAAAAGAAAAAAATCCTCCCATCTGCAACAACATGGATGAACATTATACAAGTGAACTAAGCCAGAACAAAAGACAAATACTGTATAACCTCACTGATACGTGGAATCTAAAGAACTTATACTTACTATATATCCACAAAAATTTTTAAAAATTATAAAAACTTGAGCTCAAAGAGGCAGAGATTAGAATGGTGGTTGCTAGGGGCCTGAGAGCAGAGGCGGTGGGGAAATATTGGTCAGAGGGTTCAGACTTTCAGTTATAACACAAGTTCTGGGGATTTAGTGTACAGCATGTATAGCGATGGATGTGTTGATTGTGGTAATCTCTTCAGAATGTGTACATATTTAAAATAATCACAGTGTACACTTAGAATATATTCAATTTCTATTTGTTAATTATATATGTAAAACATTTTAAAAATGCTATATATATGTAAATGAATAAATCAATGAAAATGTCATAAACGAGTGAATGGACAAATGTCATATGTTTAATTATAAGTAAGTTTCAAAATCATAATATTAGATTTAAAAACAAAATTATAGATGTACATTTAAGTGTATGATTTTATATAAGTTATACAATTTGGCATTTTATATAAATCATATAAATTGGCAAACTAAATAAAATACCAGTTCATCTTTATGTGGTTAAACTATGAATAAAAGCAGGAGAGGGTTAAATTCAAAATTGAGAAAATTTGCTTGTTTGAAGCCAAGATAGGAATGTAATGGGGCAGGAAAAAAAAAGCATATAAATTAAAAATAAAGCATTTCTTAAGATATATGCTTTGTTTAAACTACTAAAATAAAAGTTATTAAATTAAATAATACAAAGGTAGTCTATGTGAAAGTAAATCAGAAAACAATCATAGAGGGAACTAAAGGAACACCAGTGTATCAATTTTTAAAAATAAAAACATTAAATTGTAGCTATGTGTCAAAAGAGATTCTTGGTTTGACATTTGGATTTCATCTGAGAAAAACTGGTTTGTCAGTCTTCAAAACCAGAAACAGTTTTGTGTCCTCTTCACTCAATGTTTATTTCCTAAAATGGAAACTACAAAATACTGATGGATTAATTGAAGAAGACAAAAAGAAAGTGGAAAAAACATCTATGTTCATGGATTAAAAATTTAATATTGTCAAAATGACCATACTACACAAAGTAATACATAGATCAGAATATCAATGGCATTCTTCACAGAAATAAACAAAACAATCCTAAAATTCATATGGAAGTGCAAAATACTGAAAATACCCAAAGCAATCCTGATCAAAAGGAATAAAGCTGTAGGCATCGCACTACATGACTTCAAAATATACTACAAAGCTATAGTGACCAAAACAGTATGGTATTGGTAGAAAAACAGACACATAAACTAATGGAACAGAATAGAGAACAAAGAAATAAATGTTAATACTTGCATTCAACTGATTTTTGATTAAAAAAAACAAGAATATGCTTTGGAAGAGGACAGTCTCATCAATAAATGGTGCTGGGAAAACTGGATATCCAAACACCGAAGAATAAAACTGGATCTCTGTCTCTCACCATATACTCAAATTAAAGGTTTAAGTGTAACACTCAAAACTATTAAATTCCTAGAAGTAAACATAGGGACAATATTTTGAGATATTGGTCTGGGAAAAGATGTTATGGAAAAAACTCCAAAAGCATTAGCAACAAAAGCAAAAATAGACAAATGGATTATATCAAACTAAAATGTTTTTGCACAGCAAAAAATAAAACAATCAGTATAATGAAGGGACAACCTACAGAATGAAAAAAAATATATTTGTAAATAATTCATCTGACAAGGGATTAGCATCCAGAAAATAGAAGGAGCTCAAACAACTCAATAGCAAGAAAACAAATAATCAGACTTAAAAAACTGGAAAATAGTCTGAATAATATTTATCAAAAGAACACATACAAATGAACAACAAGTGTATAAAATCTGCTGAACATCACATATGATCAGGAAAATGCAAATTAAAACTACAGTGAGATATCACCTCACCCCAGTTAGAACAGGTATTATCAAAATGACAGAACCTAACAAATGCTGGTGAGAATGTGGGAAAAAGGGAATTCTTATATGCTATTGGTGGGCATGTAAATTAGTACAACCATTATGGAAAATAGTATGGAGATTCCTCAAATAACTAAAAGTAGAACTATCAGGCAAGGCAGCAATCTCACTACTAGGTATCTATCCAAAGAAAATAAAATGAGTACGTCAGAGATATCTGCACTCACATATTTATTGCAGCACTATTCACAATAGCAAAGACATGGAATTAACCTACATGTTCATCAATGGATGAATGGAAATATACAATAGAATACTACTCAGCCATAAAAAAGAGCAAAATCCTGTACTTTGTGATAACACTGCTGAGCCTGGAGGACATTATGTTAAGTGAAGTAAGTCAAGCACAGAAATATAAATATTACATATTCTCACTCATAAGCAGGAGATAAAAATGTTCAGTCAATAGAGAGTAGAATTATAGTTACTAGGGCCTGAGAGGAATAACACAGAGGTGGGAATAGAAAGAGGATAGTTAGTAGACAAAAGCTACAACTAGATAGGAGGAATAAGTGCTAGTGTTCTACAGCACTGTAGAGTGACACTACTTAACAATAATTTGGTGCATATTTTAAAATAACCAGGAGAATTTCAAACGTTCCCAACACAAATAAATAATAAATGTTTAAGGTGATGGATATGCTAATTACCCTGATTTGATAACAAAACATTGTATCCAAAAAATTTTTTCCTTGTTCCAAAAAATGTTTGAGGTGATAGCTATGATAATTATCCTGATTTGATCATAAAACATTTCATCCAAAAAATTTTTTTCTTGTTCATCAGAATATGAGGCTAGCAAAGCAATGCCTTCTTGCAGTGTCTCCTTTACATAAAGCTAATTAAAAAAAAAAATTAAAAATAAAATAAAAAATCAGTTAAAAAATTTAACTGAGTTTGAGGAATAAAGAAATGGAAACAAATAAAATTGATTGCAAGACTTTTTGTTGGGTAAAAGCTTTGAGGGTAATATAAAAACACAAAGAGAAAAATCATGTTAAATCTCTCTTCTACACATATCAGCAAGCATTGGTTCTTAATTCCATGCTATTTGAAAGCCACCTCATGACACATGAGAAAGAAGCCTTCATGATGATATATATATTGTCTCTCAGGTGTGTTTTAAAAAGTAATTGCCCATGCCTATGTCCTGAATGGTAATGCCTAGGTTTTCTTCTAGGGTTTTTATGGTTTTAGGTCTAACGTTTAAGTCTTTAATCCATCTTGAATTGATTTTTGTGTAAGGTGTAAGGAAGGGATCCAGTTTCAGCTTTCTACATATGGCTAGCCAGTTTTCCCAGCACCATTTATTAAATAGGGAATCCTTTCCCCATTGCTTGTTTTTCTCAGGTTTGTCAAAGATCAGATAGTTGTAGATATGTGGTGTTATTTCTGAGGGCTCTGTTCTGTTCCATTGATCTATATCTCTGTTTTGGTACCAGTACCATGCTGTTTTGGTTACTGTAGCCTTGTAGTATAGTTTGAAGTCAGGTAGTGTGATGCCTCCAGCTTTGTTCTTCTGGCTTAGGATTGACTTGGCGATGCGGGCTCTTTTTTGGTTCCATATGAACTTTAAAGTAGTTTTTTCCAATTCTGTGAAGAAAGGCATTGGTAGCTTGATGGGGATGGCACTGAATCTGTAAATTACCTTGGGCAGTTTGGCCATTTTCACGATATTGATTCTTCCTACCCATGAGCATGGAATGTTCTTCCATTTGTTTGTATCCTCTTTTATTTCCTTGAGCAGCAGTTTGTAGTTCTCCTTGAAGAGGTCCTTCACATCCCTTGTAAGTTGGATTCCTAGGTATTTTATTCTCTTTGAAGCAATTGTGAATGGGAGTTCACTCACCAAAACCAATGGCAACTAAAGACAAAATTGACAAATGGGATCTAATTAAACTAAAGAGCTTCTGCACAGCAAAAGAAACTACCATCAGAGTGAACAGGCAACCTACAAAATGGGAGAAAATGTTCGCAACCTACTCATCTGACAAAGGGCTAATATCCAGAATCTACAATGAACTCAAACAAATTTACAAGAAAAAAACAAACAACCCCATCAAAAAGTGGGCAAAGGACATGAACAGACACTTCTCAAAAGAAGACATTTATGCAGCCAAAAAACACATGAAAAAATGTTCACCATCACTGGCCATCAGAGAAATGCAAATCAAAACCACAATGAGATACCATCTCACACCAGTTAGAATGGCGATCATTAAAAAGTCAGGAAACAACAGGTGCTGGAGAGGATGTGGAGAAATAGGAACACTTTTACACTGTTGGTGGGACTGTAAACTAGTTCAACCATTGTGGAAGTCAGTGTGGCGATTCCTCAGGGATCTAGAACTAGCAATACCATTTGACCCAGCCATCCCATTACTGGGTATATACTCAAAGGACTATAAATCATGCTGCTATAAAGACACATGCACACATATGTTTATTGCGGCATTATTCACAATAGCAAAGACTTGGAACCAACCCAAATGTCCAACAATGATAGACTGGATTAAGAAAATGTGGCACATATACACCGTGGAATACTATGCAGCCATAAAAAATGATGAGTTCATGTCCTTTGTAGGGACATGGATGAAATTGGAAATCATCATTCTCAGTAAACTATCGCAAGAACAAAAAACCAAACACTGCATATTCTCACTCATAGGTGGGAATTGAACAATGAGATCACATGGACACAGGAAGGGGAACATCACACTCTGGGGACTGTTGTGGGGTGGGGGATGGGGGAGGGATAGCATTGGGAGATATACCTAATGCTAAATGACGAGTTAGTGGGTGCAGCACACCAGCATGGCACATATATACGTATGTAACTAACCTGCACAATGTGCACATGTACCCTAAAACTTAAAGTATAATAATAATAAAAAAATAAATAAATAAATAAAAAATAAAAATAAAAAGTAATTGCTTTGTTTAACTCATAAGAACCTTCATTCTTGATTTCCACACTTGAGGGATTCATAAGTATGGGATTCAGGGTTCTAAATGAGCTTTTTCTACATTGGAACCTTCTCCACTCTTTTAGAGGAAAGATGATAATCCTTTTAGAATATCTATTTCACATTTTTCTAAAGCTACCTCAATCATACTTCTTTTTACCTTTTTATTTTCTCCTTCACTTTCCAGGCTCTTCTCCTGTCTCTTGGGAAACTGAATATTTGTTTACCAAATGATGTCTGTACTGCATCCAGAATAACAGTAAAGAAATTCCATATGAATAAAATGAATAAAAAATTAAAACTGTTTATATTCATTTCATTTTAAAAATGTTGTCGCTAATAAATTTTTCTCACTAAAACTGCAATTGAGAGCTGTAGCTGAGTAATGTCCTTATTCACTACCTATAAGAAGGACATTTTTGGTTTCATAATAAAAGTTTTAAACTTGATTTAAAGAGTATTTGAAATTTGACTTATGAATATATAGGCTTGTTTTTTAACAATATAGACTCTCTTTTTACTTTGTATTTTTAGTTGTGATAAAATGCCGATATGTTTTGGCTCATCCCCACCCAAATCTCATCTTGAATTTTAGCTCCCATAATCCCCACGTGTTGTGAGAGGGATCCAACTGGAGGTAATTGAATCATGGAGGTGGGTTTTTCTCATGCTGTTCTCATGATAGTGAATAAGTTTCATGAAATTTGATGGTTTTATAAAGGGCAGTTCCCCTGCACATGGTCTCTTGCCTGCTGCCATGTAAGACATGCCTTTGTTCCTCCTTCTCCTTCCGCCATGATTGCGAGACCTCCCTAGCCCTGTGGAACTGTGAGTCCATTAAATCTCTCTCTCTCTCTCTTTTTTTTTTAATATAAATTACCCAGTCTCGGATATCTCTTTATGGCAATATAAAAATGAACTAGTAAAGTAATTTGATACTGCAGAGAATGGGGTGCTGATGTAAAGATACCTGAAAATGTGAAAGTGAATTTGGAACTGATTGGGGGTTGGAACAATTTGGAGGGCTCAGCAGAAGACAGAAGAGTGTGGGAAAGTTTGGAACTTCCTATGGACTTATTCAATGTCCTTGACCAAAATGCTGACAGTAAAGTCCAGGCTGAGATGGTCTTAGATGAGGAAGATGTTAGGTGCAAAGGTGACTCTTGTTATGCTTTGGCAAAGAGACTGGTGGCATTTTGACCCTGCCCTTGAGATCTGTGGAATTTTGAAATTGAGAGAGATGATTTAGGGTATCTGTTGGAAGAAATTTCTAAGCAGCAAAGTTTTCAAGAGGAAGCAGAGCATAAAAGTTTGGAAAATTTGCAGACTGACAATGCAATAACAAAGAAAATCCTATTTTCTGGGGAGAAATTCAAGCCTGCTGCAGAAATTTGCATAAGTAACAAGGAGGCAAATATTATTCACCAAGAAAATGGGGAAAATATCTCCAGGGCATGTCAGAGAGTTTCACAGCAGTCCCTCCAATCGCAGGCCCAGTGGCTTAGGAGGAAATAATAGTTTCATGGGCCATGCCAAGGGCACCCCCTGCTGTGTGCAGCCTTGGGACATGGTGTCCAGAATCCCAGCTGTTCTAGCCATGGCTAAAAGGGCCAAGGTACAGCTCAGGCTGTGGCTTAAGAGGGTGTGAGACCCAAGCCCTAGCAGCTTCCATGTAGTGTTGAGCCTGCAAGCCTACAAGTGCACAGAAGTCAAGAAGTGAGGTTTGGGAACCTCCACCTAGATTTCAGAGGATGTATGGAAATGCCTGGATCTCCAAGCAGAAGTTTGCTGCAGGGGCAGGGCCATCATGGAGAACCTCTGCCAGGGCAATGTGAAAGGGAAATGTGGAGTACGACCCCTCACACAGAGTCCCCACTGGGGCACTACCTGGTGGGGCTGTAAGAAGAGGGTCACTGTCCTCTGGACCCCAGAATGGTTGATCTACCAACAAGTTGCATTGTACACCTGGAAAAGCCTCAGACACTCAATGCCAGCCCATGAAAGCAGCCAGGATGGGACTTGCACCCTGCAAAGCCATAGGGATGGAGCAGCCTCAGGCTTGGGAAGTCCACCTCTTGCATCAGCGTGATCTGGATGTGAGACATGGAGTCAAAGGGGATGATTATTTTAAAACTTTAAGGTTTAATAACTGCCCTATTGGATTTAAGACTTGCATGGGGCCTGTAGCCCCTTTGTTCTGGACAATTTCTGCCATTTGGAATGGGTGTATTTACCCACTGCCTGTACCCCCATTGTATCTAGGAAGTAACTAACGTACTTTTCATTTTACAGGTTCATAGGTGGAAGGGACTTGCCTTGTCTCAGATGAGACGTTGAATTGTGGACTTTTGAGTTAATGCTGAAATGCAGTAATACTTTGGAGGACAGTTGAAAAGGAAAGATTGTGTTTTGAAATGTGAGGACATGAGATTTGGGAGGGCCTAGAATGATATGGTTTTGTTGCATTCTCACTCAAATCTCATCTTGAAGTATAGCTCCCATAATCTCCATGTGGAGGTTTGGGAACCTCCAGGAGGGACCCAGAGGGAGGTAATTGAATCATGGGGGTGGGTTTTTCCGGTGATGTTCTCAAGATAGTGAATAGGTCTCATGAGATCTGATGGTTTTATGAAGGGCAATTATCCTGCACATGCTCTCTTGCCTGCCACCATGTAGGACATGTCTTTGTCCCTCCTTCACCTTCTGCCGTGCGTGTGAGGCCTCCCTAGCCATGTGGAACTGTGAGTCCATTAAACTTCTTTTTCTTTATAAATTACCGAGCCTCGGGTATTTCTTCATAGGAATATAAAATGGACTAATACAAATGCACATAAAATAAATATACTATCTTAAGCACTTTTAAATGTATGGTTTAGTAGTGTTAAGTATTTTTATGTGGTTGTGAATCAACATCCAGAACTTTTTAATCTTACAAAACTAAAACTCTATACCTGTTAGAAAACAACTCCCATTTCTCCTCCACCCGGATCACCATTCTACTTTTCGTTTACATGACTTTGATTACTGTAGATACTTCATATAAGTGGAATCATGGTATTTGTTTTTTTGTGACTAGCTTATTTTACTTAGCAAAATGTCCTCAAGTTTCATCTATGTTATAACATGTATTATTATAATTCTCTTCCTGTTTAAGGCTAAATATTGTCCCATTGTATGCATATGTCACATATTGCTCATCCATTCATCTATCAAAGGACGTTTGAGATCATATTGCAAATAATGCTGCTATGAACATGGTTTTGCAAGTATGTCTTCAAGACCTTCCTTACAACTCTTTTGAATATATATCCAGAAGTCAATTCCTGGATCATATGCTAGTTCTATTTTTAATGATTTTTAGACACTGTGTTACTGTTTTACACAGCGGCTGCACCATTTTGCATTTCTACCAACAATGAAAAAGGATTCTAATTTTTCCACCTCTTCCCAAACAATTGTTTTCTATTTTGTTTTGTTTTGTTTGTTTTTGATTTTAGCCTTCCTAATGCCTGTGAGGTAGTATCTCTTTCTGGTGTAAATTTGCATTTCCCTAATGATTAGTGATGTTTAGCATTTTGTCATCTAGTAGTTAGCCATTTGCATATTGCCTAAAGAAAAAGCTCTATTCAAGTTCTTTCGCTATTTTTAACTTAATATGTAATTTGCAAACATTTTCTTCCATTCCATAGTTGTCTTTTCACTCTGTTGATTGTGTTTTAGATGCACAGGTATTTTTATATGTTTGTCTTTATTTTGATGTGGTCCACTTTATTTATTTTTACTCTTTGTCTTGTTTTTGGTGTCATAACCAAGAAATTAATGCTAATTTCAATGTCATAAACCTTTTTTCCTATGATTTCTTCTTAGACTTTTATCAATTTAGTCCTTATGTTTAGGTCTTTAATGCATTCTGAATTAATTTTTGTATATGGAATAAGGTAAGCTTCTACCTGTATTATCTCAGCACTATTTTTAGAAAAGAATGATCTTTCTTCATTAAATGATTTTAGCTCCCTTGTCAAAAATTATATTATATATGCAAGATTTTATATGTGGGCTCTCTATTCTATTGCATTGTTATATAATTATGTTTTTATGCCAATGCTACATAGTTTTGATTGATTACTGTAGCTTTGTAACACATTTTAAAATTAAGAATTGTTAGACCTCCGAGGCTGTTCTTTTGCAAGATTGCTTTGGCTATTCAGGGTCCCTTGAGATTTCATATAAAATTTAGGTAAGTAAACTGGTTTCAAATTGCCTCACAAAAGGGATTTTGCACTAATTGTTAAATTTTATATTAGTTTTCTATATTATAATTAATTAATTGTATCCATTTAAAGATAATAAAGGGGTTCAGTTTTAATATTCTGCTTATGGCTAACCAGTTATCCCAGCACCATGTACTGAATAAAGAGTCCTTTTCTCATAGTTTGCATTTGTTGAATCTGTTAAAGATCAAATGTTTGTAGGTGTGCCACATTATTTCTAGGCTCTCTATTCTGTTCCATTGGTCTATGTGTCTGTTTTTGTACCGGTACCATGATGTTTTAGTTACTGTAGCCTTGTAGTATACATTGAAGTCAGGTAACGTCATGCCTCCAACTTTGTTATTTTTGCTTATGATTGCCTTGGCTATTTGGGCTCTTTTTTTTTGGTTCTATATGAATTTTGAAATACGTTTCACTAATTCTGTAAAAAAAATCATTGGTCATTTGATAAGAATAGCATTTAATCTTTAAAGTACTTTGGGCAGTATGGCCATTCTAAAAATATTGATTCTTCCTGTCCATGACCATGGACAATATATGGTGCTGGGATAACTGGCTAGCCATAAGCAGAATATTGAAACTGAATCTCTTCCTGTCTATGAGCATGGATTTTTTTTTGTTTATGTAAATTCTGATTTCTTTGAGCAGTGTTTTGTAATTCTTATCGTAAAGATCTTTCACCTCCCTGGTTAGCTGTATTTCTAGGTATTTGATTCTCTTTGTGGCTATTTTGAATGGGATTACATTCCTGATTTGGCTCTCAGCTTGGATTTTGTTGGTGGTCAGGAAAGTTACTTATTTTTATTCATCAATTTTGTAAAACTTTGTTGAAGTTGTCAAATCAAAAAGCTCTTAGTCAGAGGGTATAGGGTTTTGTAGTTATAAAATCATATAATTTGCAAACAGGGATAATTTGAGATAATCCCTCTCTTCCTATTTGGATGACTTTTATTTCTTTCTCTTGCCTGATTGCTCTGTCCAGGAATTCCAGTGTTATATTGAATAGCAATGGTGAGAGAGGACATCTTTGTCTTGTGCTGGTTTTCAAGGGGAATGCTTCCAGCTTTTGCCCATTCAGAATGATGTTGGCTGTCGGTTTGTCATAAATGGCTCTTATTGTTTTGAAGTATGTTCCTTCAAAGCCTAGTTTGTTGAGTGTTTTTAACATGAAGGGGTGTTGAATTTTATAAAATGCTTTTTCTTCATCTATTGAGATAATCTTGTAGTTTTTATTTTAGTTCTGTTTATTAAATGAATTACATTTATTGATTTGCATATGTTAAACCAACCTTGCATCTTAGGGATAAAGCCATTTTGATTATAGTGGTGGATTATCGTTCTGATATGCTGCTAGATTCAGTTTGCTATTATTTTGTTGAGGATTTGTGCATCTATGTTCATCAAAATTATGGACCTACAGCTCTCTTTTTTTGTTGTGTTTCTGCCAGGTTTTGGAGTCAGGATGATGCTGGCCTCATAGAATGAGTTAGGGAAGAGTCCCTCCTGCTCAATTTTTTGGAATAGTCTCAGTAATAGTGGTACCGGCTCTTTTTATACATCTGGTAATATCCAACTGTGAATCTGCCTGGTCTTGGACTTATTTTGGTTGGCAGTCTTGTTATTACTGATTCCACTTTGGACCCTTTTCTTACATCACTACATTTTTACATTTACAGTTTTACATGTACAGTTACAGCTTTACATTTAAGTCTTTAATCCACTGAGTTGATCAAAAATCAATTTAATGGACTAAATACTTAAGTGTAAAACCTAAAACTATAAAAACCCTAAAAGAAAACCTAGGAAATACCATTCTGGATAGAGGCCCTGGCAAAGATTTCATGATGATGATGCCAATAGCAGTCGCAACATAAAAAATTGACAAATGGGACCTAATCAAACTAAAGGGTTTCTGCACAGCACAAGAAAGTATCAACAGAGTAAACAGACAATCTACAGAATATGATAAAATATTTCCAAACTGTGCATACAACAAAGGTCTAATATCCAGAATCTATAAGGTACTTAAACAAATGTATAAGCAAAAAACAAATATTGCCATTAAAAAGTGGGCGAAGGACATAAACAGACACTTTTCAGAGAAGACATACATGTGGCCAAGAAGTACAAAGTTGCTAATTAGTAAAAATGCTCAACATCACTCATCACTAGAGAAATGCAAATAAAATCCACAAGATGATACCCTCTCCCACCAGTAAGAATGGCTATTATTAAAGAGTCAAAAAATAACAGATGCTGGCTAGGTTGCAGAGAAAAGGGAATGTTCATATACTGCTGGTGGGAATGAAAATTAGTTCATCCATTGTGGAAAGCAGTTTGGCAATTTCTCAAAGAATTTAAAACAGAATTACCATTCAACTCAGCAATCCCTCCTGGGTATATACCCAAAAGAATATAAATCATTTTACCATAAAGACACATGCATACATATGCTTATCACAGCACTCTTTGCAATAGGAAAAATGGAAGCAACTTAAATGCCCATCAAATGTAGGCTGGATAAAGAAAATGTGGTACATATATACCACAGAATACTTACTACACAGCTATAGAAAGAAAGAAATAATATCCTTTGCAGCAACATGGATGGAGCTGGAGGCCATAAATCCTACGTAAAATAACACAGGAACAGAAATCCAAATACCACATGTTCTCACTTATAAGAGGGAGTTAAACATCGGGTACATATGGACACAAACAAGCAAACAGCAGACACCGGGGCCTACTTGAAGGTGGAAGGTGGCAGGAGGGTGAGGAGGGTGAGGTTCAGAAAACTACCTATTGGTACTATGCTTATTATCTGTGTGATTGTGATAATCTGTACACCAAACTCCTGTGATATACAATTTACCTGTATAACATATCTGTACATGTACTACTGAACTTAGAATAAAATAAAAAAAAAACAAAATAGAAAAGGTAAGTGTATGCCTTTCTGTTGCTCAGTTATATAAATCTGATGGCAACACACTATTCAAGTTTTATATAAGGCTAATTTAAGCTGTATACATATTTTACAAGATTTTTACAATATGAGAAAATTATTGCTTTCTCACAAATTATTTAAATATGGAAAAATACATTTAATAAGTGAAATTATATTAGCAGATATTTTTAAAATTTGTTTAATCTTGTAAATACCTTTATTATAAATTATGAGGGCTTAATACGTTGGTTTACATGCAGATTCTGATTTAATCCTCAAACTAATATTAAAATGAATATTAAATCAAATTTACTAATAAATACTTCTGCTATCTAGGCAATTATTAAGTAAAAAAACAAAACATTTGTCATTTAACATACTGTTCATTATACATATTAATTATAGGATGGCTATAGATTAAAAGATGTGTAAGTGTTTAAAAACTTTTCCCACGATACAATTTGTAAATGTATTATAAAATATTTTGTTTTCTTTGTCATATTTTCCCCTCTGGCCCTAAAGGAAACACCAATTTGTCAGTTTGATTAAAGTGGCTAATTAATAAAATGTCTTAATCAGTTTTGGCTGCTGTAATTATCATTCACTGGGTGGCTTAATAACAGACTTTTATTTCTCACAGTTCTTTAGGCTGGGAAGTCCAAGGTCAAGGCACCAATATATCTGGTGTCTGGTGAAAGCCTTCTTCCTGCTTTGCCAGTGGTTTTCTTATTGCTGTATTTTCACATGGCACAGAGAAGAAAGAGAGAGAAAGAAAGAAAGCTTTCTTGTGTCTTTTTATAGGGCCACTAATCCCATTCATAAGGAGATTGATTTATAAGTGGGGGCTAAACATCAGGTGTATATGAACACAAAGAAGGAAACATCAGACATGGGGGTCTACTTGAGGGTGAAGTTTGGAGAAGGGTGAGGATCCAAAATCTATTTCTACCTCATGACCTAGTTACCTGCCAAAGGCCTTACCTCTTAATATCATCACTTTGGGCTGTTAGGGTTTCAAAATATCAACTTTTGGGAGAACACAAATATTTAGTACATAGAAAAAATTATGGCTTGTTCCCCAAGCAATTTTAGTTTATTAAGATAATAAATTTAATAACTGAATACAGTTAATTTTAATTTTAAAATAATAAACACTTTAATTGTATTATTTAGTTATATAATCATATTTTATTTATTTATTTATTTTTGAGATGGAAGCTAGCTCTGTTGCTCAGGCTGGAGTGCAGTGGCGCCATCTTGGCTCACTGCAACCTCCACCTCCCTGGTTCAAGCAATTCTCCTGCCTCAGCCTCCCGAGTGGCTGAGACTACAGGCTCACACCACCACGCACAGATAATTTTTGTATTTTTAGTAGAGACAGGGATTCACTGTGTTGGCCAGGCTGGTCTCGAACTCCTGACCTCGTGATCCGCCAGCCTCGGCCTCCCAAAGTGCTGGGATTACAGACATAAGCCACCATGCCCAACCTTATTTTATTTATTTAAATGCACATGTACACATTTATATTAAGATTATTTAAGTCTAAATAAATTTAACTTTTAAAAATTAATTAAATTCAAGAGAAATTTGAAGATGTATCATGTATAATGAACATTTGAACAAAAGTAATATTCACTGCCTGTGTTAAAAGTACAATCAAACAATTAATTTACTAAAAAATGTGAGGTATGTTACCATGCTTATGCCAATTTTCCTTATAAGGATAAGAGGCTTATAAATAGTTTACTGAATTTTTTTTTTTTTTTTTTGCTTAACAGATATTTACAAAGACGACATATTAAATTGGAGTTTTTCCCTTAAAATGACCATGTTGTTTCACTCTCAGATAACAGAAGTTCCTTTTTATTAGTAAAATCTTCTTCTAAATCTCTGTATTTGTGAAATTCATAAATCATTTTTTAAAAAATTATTTCGAAGTTAAAGAATAATTAAATTATCACTAATCACTGCTACTTATTGCTGTGTTTTTAAAAATATTGTCTATAATTACATTTGTCCTCCTTGTTTATAATTAATAGTCACAATTCTTTCATTTTTCTGCCCAAAATTCAGGCCTTAAATTCAGAAATAAAGGAGTGTTAAGATGAGTTTTGTTGGGGCCGTGTGCGGTGGCTCACCCCTGTAATCCCAGCACTTTGGAAGGCCAAGGTGGGCGGATCACCTGAGGTCAGGAGTCCAGGACCAGCCTGGCCAACATGGTAAAACCCTGTCTCTACTAAAAATACCAAAAATTATCTGGGCGTGGTGGCAGGTGCCTGTAGTCCCAGCTACTCCGGAGACTGCGGCACAAGAATCGCTTGAATCCGGAAGGAGGAGTTTGCGGGGAGCCGAGATCGCGCCATTGCACTCCAGCCTGGGCAATAAAAGTGAAATTGCATCTAAATAAAAAGAAAAAAGATGACGATTTTTGTTCTTTAGTTACATTTAGTTTGTGGCCACCAAATAATATAAATATTTCCTTTTTTCCCCTTGTTAGAGAAATGATAATAAAAATAATTGTTTACTTCAAATTCTCCAAATTCTATTTTATGTAAAACTATTGGTTCAATGATTTAATTATTACTTACTTTTTAGGTGAAAATTAAAATACTCATGGTAAAAGACAAAGGCTGTTGCAATAATGATTTATTTTTTTCAATTCTCTCACCAATCATGAACATTTATGAACTATTTTATAATATGAATTTTAAAAGTCCTGAAGTTTCTTCAGTGTCCTCCATGTTCATGAAACCTTCTTACTCCCAGAGTAACTGTTGACTATATACCTATAATTAATTATATGTATACTTCAAGAGCAAATTATACTATCTTCCATTCTGATAGTGATGATTAACATTCTGTATTAAGCAGAGTGATTTAATTTTATTATCATGACAATAAATAATGGCCAACATTAAACCGACATTGGTAGGGCAACCTAACCCAGATTTCCGAGGATATTTCTGGCAGGTGTTCTCTTTGTTAATGTCATAATTCTAGGAAAACTCTAAAAGTGGGATAGGTATGAGAACCAATTCTCAGGACTTATTTAAACATGAACAGATAAATTTTACTACAATGCCACAGCCTGGATTCAGACCATGTATCAAGTATTTTATACTTTCGTTTTGGATGAACGGAACATTTCTCATGTTGGAGTCTTAATTGCTTGACCGTAGCAAAATATTCTAAAATTTGTATAAGTTGGGGTAGTTAAACAAATTTTTTGATGATAAGGAGATTAATTTTCTAATATATTTTCTTTTAAAATGTATTACAATTGACACAAAATCTACTCGTTCCTATGACTCAAACCTATGGAACAATAAGAGTTGATTATACTATCAAGAAATCTGGCCAATTTATCTACGGACAAGATTCCCAGCCCAAGATCCTCATCCCCCCACAACCTTCTTTTTTTTTTTTTTTCTTTTTTTTTTAAATCTCAGGGCTATGTATTTGTAACCTTTCATTAAAGAAAGTTTTCAGCCTACAAATTAGCTGTGGAGCACCAAATGCCCTTAGGAATCTCCTGTAGACCCAGCTTTATTACAAGCTTATATGGTTTGGCTGTGTCCCCACCAAATCTCATTTTGAATTCCCACGTGTTGTGGGAGGGACCCAGTGGAAGGTAACTGAATCATGGAGGCAGGTCTTTCCTGTGCTGTTCTTGTGATAGTGAATAAATCTCACGAGAACTGATGGTTATGGAAAAGGGGTTTTCCCTGCACAAGCACTCCTCTCTTTTTGCCTGCTGCCATCCATGTTAAGATGTGACTTGTTTCTCCTTGCCTTCTGCCATGATTGTGAGGCTTCCTCAGCCACGTGGAACTGTGAGTTCTCCATTAACCCTTTCCTGTGCAAATTGCCCAGCCTCAGGTATGTCTTTATCAGCAGCGAGGAAATGGAAAATACACAAGCTGATATAGATGTATATTATAAAGGACAAATGGCATACCAAGACATATTACCAACTGTTGCCTGAGAGCTTTCTTCTTGACCTTCAACAAAATGACTTCATATTTTGGAAAAGACACCAGAGAAAATATGCTTTAAAGCCATGTGAAAATGAGCCTCATCGATCAGTAAGACCACTAACAAGTTGTTCCCACTACAAGTCAACTCCAAAGAGTTTATCCTTGGATTTAAGTCTCCAAATAAAAAAATGCAACAGCTTTCTCTGCAGAAACAACTGACCCTACTGAAAATATCAAGCTGAAGATGTGTAGGAGTTCTACCAAAGCAGATGGTCCTTGGAAGAATTCAGCTCAAGAACGTTGCATTATTTAGGTAACCAAATATAATAGCTTCTGCTAAGGGCAACAGGGAAAGATGATGGCATATTTATTTATTTGCTATATTTACTGCTTACTCAAATTCTGAACATAATCACTGTTTATAGATATCTCTAGCTTTAACACAATGTGGTACTCACGTTAGTTTTTGTCCTTTTGCTTTTGCTTTTAGTTGGTATTTAGAAAACTCATGTCTCCAACTCACATATGGCCTAGCCTAAATGTATAACTAGTCTGATTTCTGGATTTACACCAAAGTTCCTTTGGTGGCTGGGGAGATCCCACTCATTCTTACACTATCTACCCATCTACACTATGTTGTCTATCTACATTGTACTATCTACACTATGTTGTCTCACATAATTCAAATACTTACTAATTGTCCTTTCTCACTTGACATAACTTTGAAAACTGTCAAACCTTTAACTTCTAGCTTTTTGTTTTTTCTGGATCTCTTCAGAAATCTCAGATGATTGTTAATGGGAATTTTATGAAGATTACTAATAATTTTTATCATATGCCTTAATTTTTATATGCTATCTAAAGTCTTTTTAAAACTTACTTTTCAGTCTCTTTCCTTGCAGAATATTCAGTGAGTGACACTCCACTCGATAATTTGAAAGACAGTTTGTGTCCACAAGTGGAAATTGCAAACATCATGCCTTGACAAGAATTCTGAGTGGTGTAGATTTGGATGTGACTAATAAAGGAAAAACTAATCTATGACGAAGTGAAGAAAGAAAAAAGAATATGGATCTTCCTTCAGTCCCTACGGAACAAACAATTCCAAATCTCAAACATAATGTAGCCACTTTTTTTTTGCTAAACTCAAAACCCACAAGATTTTCACACTCAGATGTACTTGCCCTATGCCCATCTACTTGTGAGATTTACAAGCCTGAGAACTTAATCTTAGTAAAACATCAGCTTCCTTGTTTTTCCACTCCCCATCTCATATTTCTCTTTCTTATTACTCACTTTGATTACTAACGTTAAGTGCTTTCGACTAATAAAACCTCTAGTAACCCACAGAAAGCAGATCAGTCAATCTTTCAGAGTGCTTCTTTTGTGGAAAATGAATAAAATTTTACTTTTCCCAATTAGTTTTTGATAGACCTATTTGAGGACACATCGCTCTAAGGAACAACTCTTCCAAGGAAATCACTTTGAGAGAAAGTATTTTTGTATGGAACATGAGTTACTCTTCTTTAGAATTCTTCCACCAACATCTGGTACAGTCCCTATCACATAGTGGATTCCAAAAATGAAGTGGAGAGGAAAGGCTATTTGCTAACATGTACTGATAAACTAGACTTTAAAATGCTTTCTTTATGATATATCCTAAAATTAGTCTGAGGTACACAAGGAAAAAATATGCAGGCTTTAAAGAAGACTAAATTATTTTTAAATGGTTAAAACAAAATTTTTAAAAAGTACATCATTATATTTGCTTAAAAATCTGCCTCTAAAAAGCATAATAATGCAAGCATATTGCCTAATAACAAAATATATCATGGAAACAGCTTGATAATTTGAAAAGGCAATACTGAATTTTTTAATGATATGACTAGACTTCTTGAGGGTGATATAAATTATTTTTCAGTCAGTAAATATTTGGTCCTGGGTAAATCTGAATGATTGTTGTCTATAAGTGACTCTGAGCCAAGTAAGAGTGTGGTTTGTTAAAGAACTGTTTTATTTATTTATATTTCATCGTAATTTTTCATGACAATGTGGTCTCAGATTCCAAGCCAGTTATTTCTCCTAGTCCTCAACACTAAAGAAAGTACTGTCCTTTGTCAAATGCATAGTCATCTCCAAAGTGGCATGTTACTAAGGGATGTTAAGATTAAGTTGCTTAAAATTATTTGCTTTATATAGAATACAATCCCCAAGTAATATGAAATTCCGGCCGGGCGCGGTGGCTCACGCCTGTAATCCCAGCACTTTGGGAGGCCGAGGCGGGTGGATCACGAGGTCAGGAGATCGAGACCATCCTGGCTAACACGGTGAAACCCCGTCTCTACTAAAAATACAAAAAATTAGCCGGGCGAGGTGGCGGGCGCCTGTAGTCCCAGCTACTCGGGAGGCTGAGGCAGGAGAATGGCGTGAACCCCAGGGGGCGGAGCCTGCAGTGAGCCGAGATTGCGCCACTGCACTCCAGCCTGGGCGACAGCGAGACTCCGTCTCAAAAAAAAAAAAAAAAAAAAAGAAAGAAATTCCACCATACTGTTTATGTTTGTTCGTTTGTAGTTACTCTTGGCTCACTTAACAGTTATCAGTCACACATTAATAATAACCTCAAGATAAATTTTGTTGTAAAAATTTGAAGAATATATTTTATATCAGCATCTCTGCCCCATCATCTCTTCCACCTTTTTAAAAATATATATGGCTGGATTTACTTCTGTCATTTTGTTACCTGTTTTTTCTATCTCAAATGCTTTCTACACACCATGCTCTGTTCCAAATCATGTCAGCTACCTCCAGCAGTGAAGCTGTGGGTTTCAAGGCCAGCCCCACTATGGTACACTATCCATGTGGACCCAGCTAGAAGAGTAGATGAGGGTAGTAGCTTCATGCCAGAATTCTACTTTCTGTCTCTGTTAACTGATGTTCTTCAGTTTTTGGTGAGTCTATACTTCTCAATTTGTTGTTTGCTATCATTGATTTCTAGAGCCCTGAATGACTTTTCTGAGAATTTAATCTAGTTGCATAGCTATTTTTATTTTAAAATTATTTTTAATTTTTTTCAGACAATTATGATATATTTATAGGTAAAAAAAGTTTAGAAAAAGCCATATATAGTATGATCCTGAAACTGTAATGACTTGTGTATACTTATATACATCCATGTACATACATGCATATACACATATAGTAATTGTTATAGGTATGCATAGAAAGATGACAGAAAGACATCCAGCAAAGTGTTAATACTAATTATCTCTGGATCATGGAATTATGGTAATGTTTTTCTCTTTGATGATACTCTCTACTTTCAAATTTTTCACAATGTAAATTTAATACTTATGTACTCAGGGTAAAATATTGAGAAATGCAAATCAAAACCACAATGCTATACCATCTCACACCAGTTAGAATGGCGATCATTAGAAAGTCAGGAAACAACAGGTGCTGGAGAGGATGTGGAGAAATAGGAACACTTTTACACTGTTGGTGGGACTGTAAACTAGTTCAACCATTGTGGAAGTCAGTGTGGCGATTCCTCAGGGATCTAGAACTAGAAATACCATTTGACCCAGCCATCCCATTACTGGGTATATACCCAAAGGATTATAAATCATCCTGCTATAAAGACACATGCACATATATGTTTATAGCGGCACTATTCACAATAGCAAAGACTTGGAACCAACCTAAATGTCCAACAACGATAGACTGGATTAAGAAAATGTGGCACATATACACCATGGAATACTATGCAGCCATAAAAAATGATGAGTTCATGTCCTTTGTAGGGACATGGATGAAACCGGAAACCATCATTCTTAGCAAACTATCGCAAGGACAAAAAAACAAACACCGCATGTTCTCACTCATAGGTGGGAATTGAACAATGAGAACACATGGACACAGGAAGGGGAACATCACACACCGGGAACTGTTGTGGGGTGGGGGAGGTGGGAGGGATAGCATTAGGAGATATACCTAATGCTAAATGACGAGTTAATGGGTGCAGCACACCAACATGGCACATGTATACATATGTAACAAACCTGCACGTTGTGCACATGTACCCTAAAACTTAAAGTATAATAATAATAAAATTTAAAAAAAATAAAAATAAAACAAACAAAATTCAACTTTTATTTTAGATACAAGGGGCACATATGCATATTTGATACTGAGATTTTCATTGGTGAGCTTCAGTCAAATAAAAAATTATTACCTTATTCAGAGCAAAAATTTGGGCAAAGCAAAATCGACAGCAAGCGTGTGCACAAGAAGGTATCTGTATATTTATTTCTAACTATAAGAGCCTCCTACACCTACTTATCAGTTAATTATTAAATACATTTGTAGAACATGCATTGGCAAAAGACTGGAAACAGTATTTTATGTTTTCAGCAAATTGGGAAACTGACACTATTGATAAAATTACTTTTCTGTCTATCATTGAAAGGCATGGAAATGTGATTTTTAACTTTGGAGGGCTTTGTTATCTAAAACTGTCTAACCATATTTAACCTGTCAGAAGAGAGCCAATGCTGTTTTGCATACTAAAACTGCCAGTCCCTATTTGGAATATCTTTCATGCGTCTCTGCATCTTGTGTTGTGAAATCATGGTGATGGCACATGATTAGAACTGTCAAAGTCTTATGTGTTCTTTTGAATTTATAATTTACCCTTTTTAACTTGACAGGTGATTATTTTTTTCATATCTTTAAGACACTGATGAAAATATTTATATATTAACAAATTCCCACATTTCCCCACACTTTTTACAAATCATGGGTACACAAAAGTGACACTGTGTTTGAAGTCACACATCATAGCATTTGATTCATCTTTTTTCAGTCCTTAGCCTTGACAGGTGCTGATGATTTGCTTCCTATCTTAGTAACTGCTGTAAGCTGTCACATCTACTTCCAATTAATACATATCTGTTACAGTCCAGCAGCTCTAACAAATGCAAAACTACAAAATATTTCTTCAACTTTTACTAACCAGGTGTTGCCATGGTATCTAGTTTAGCAGGCATAGACATGTGGCCTGTTTCTGACAAGTATATTGTCAATCATTAGACCTACATATTTTACTCATTGACAAGAGCCTTCCATGAAATAATAGAACTTTGACTCACAATGTTACTCATTGAAAAGATACATAAAAGAAGTTAGTAAACATTTTATATGACTCTATACTGATTGATATTAATGCAAGTTGATTTTTTTGTGATTCCTTCTTCAAGTTCCAGCTTGAAAACTTGGCTTTCAGGAATATCTTTCAAGTTTTCATAAATTCCAAATGTATGTCACTTCATCTTTATTTGAGAACACTAAAATGCTAAATTTATTGAACTTTTAACAGCATATACTAAATTCTAACTAAAAAATTACTAAAAATAGCTTAGAGAAGAACATTTTATTATTTTGTCAGATTTTAAATTAATATTAATATTTCTGGAAAGACTACATATCTACATCTATATCTGTAACTGTTTATCTTAAATATTTTTAAATTAGCAGATTACCTTTTATAAAAGCTCTTAAACAATATTTAGTGATGGCCTATGTTACTCATATCCAATTAAGCTGTTTAAAATTCTAATGAAGAAGCTTAGGAAAAATGTTAAACTAAATTTAGTAAAGATGACATCCTCAGTTTTGATGTGAAATGAATTATTTCTTTTAAATTGTAAATTGTACTTAAATGACACTGGGATCTAGAGTAGACAGCCTTCTTAGTACATAGTGTATATAAGCAAAAGATAAATATAAAGCTATTTAGTTCTGAGAACAAGAGAACCTCAGTTTGATGGATATCACAATATTAATTAAATTTTTCCTTCCATTGTGTCAGAATCAGCAGATAAGCATAACTGGTTCGGCAAGAGAATGGAATATGAACAAGTTGCTGACTGTTACTGTGCTTAGGAAAGTGAGGCTTGGGAAGATAATGTCTGCCTGAGTGTCTGTATTATTCCATAATTGATAATATTTGCTTAAACAAATGAAATAGAGAGGAAGAAAAAAACTAAACACTAACAGAAAGAAGACAGAGGAGGAAAAGGTCATATGATTTAGAATATGAGTATAGATTGCTTTAATTGAATCAGAAAAAAAAATGTGATACTAAAGTTTTGTGATGCCAGAAACCTTTTTAATACTTAGGTTATAAAACGAAGTGCATTCTACTCAAGTGGTGTGCCGGTTTACAATGCTCATACAATCATCATATGCATTCACTCATTTTTTTCATAAATAATTCAAGTCACTACTATGCCTAAATCCTGCGTTCAACACTGGCTGAACAGTGGCAGCAACATATAAATAACAACTCTATTCATTCACTCAGCAGATAGTATTTCTTGACTTCTGTTCTAAGGATTTTGGATATATTAGTGAATGAAACTTAAAAAGCTTTATATCCTCACTCAGTTTATATATATTCTAATATGGTAACATAAACCATAATCACCCTAATAAAAAGTAAATAATATTGGATATAAGCCAGCAATACATGTTATGAGACAAAAAGGGTGAGAAGCAGTCAGATTCAAGGTACTATGCACAGAATGTTCACTGCATTTATGGGAAGGTATGATAGAGTGAAAGAAGGAGAGAGAGGGGGGACTCAAGAATGAGTGCAAGGATTTTGAATGAAACACCTATAGAGATGCTGCTTCCATCAACTAAGATGGAAGTATCTGCAAATAAGAAATGGTTGTGGTAACCATGAGTTCAGTTTTAGATACACTGAAGCATATATTACACACACACACACACACACACACACACACACACATCACAGACACATGCGTATATATACCCCATACATATACAAGTGGAGACGTTCTGTAGGCAATAAGATATATGAGGCTGAAAGTTAGAAAGAGATATTCAGAGATCTAAATTTGAGGGTTAACAGCATATACGTGCTATTTAGAGTCATAAGATTGAATGAGTTTACCAAGTGGATATAGATACAACAAAGAAGAGGACAAGGGTTAAACCCAGGTAATGAATACATACTATAAAATGTATATATGTATGTATGTATGTGTTATTTTACTCTGTGTGTGTGTGTGTGTGTGTGTGTGTGTGTGTGTGTGTAATATACCTGTTTCAATGTATCTAAGATAGAACTCCTGCTGGTTCAATTCATATATATGTATGAATGAAGACAGAGAGAGAGAGCAAACACAAATAGCATATATCATGTATAAGACATTGAGTAGGGGTTAAAGTAACAAGCAAATAGCATGTAAGTTTCTCTTGAACCAAAAATAGAAATGTTTAAGTAATAAACTCTTCCATTAGTCATAAGACTACAGAATCCTATATGGCACAATATAAGAAAATACTGCATTTTTCAAATTAGAAATTGCTTAAAAACAGACAAACTAAATGTATAATTTTAGAGATATAAATAGTACTTAATATCTATTGGCAATATTTAATAAATTAATATTTTACATAACAATATTTCAAATCATATATAAAATAAGATTCATTAAAAATAGCAGCACTTATTTTTTATGAAATACTTAAGAAGTTGCAAGGGCATTTTTGACATTGTATCCACATTCTGGTTATTTTCTAAGTGATCTGATGTATTGTTCTCAGGAATCTTGTTTTAGGAAACTGAAAATATCTGATGCTTGAGAATCCCCTATTTTCTGTTTATTGTCAAAAAGATTTTCAAGAAAAGTCCCTTTCAGTTGTACTTATTATGAGCAGAAATATGGCCCTCTGGGACATCATTCTGCCTTTGAGGAGTTGGTGTAACACTAACAGATGTGGATGTGTATTCTTGATTTAGCATTAATGATAGTTATAGGAATAAATATTTATTATTGTGTTATGGTTAGTATATGGTTGTTAATATAGATAGCATGAAAATAGACAAATACTTCCTAAATTTGTGTAGCGATAGAAGTAAATAAAGTTACATCATAATTTTTTTCCTACCTAAGTCAATTGAAGTTGTGTGATTTATAATTCATGTTAAGAGGTACATTGACAATTAATCATAAAAAATGATTTTTTTAATCTTAGGGAACCACTACTTTAAAGACATAAAAACACAAAATCTAATTTTAAATTGTTTAATCATTTAAACATTTTTTGGAAATTGTGCTTTTCCCTATATAAATGTCACTTATAAATGGCTAATGGGTATTATTTACCTGTCTTTACAGTACAGTTATATCAATTTCAGTTTACCGTTGAGATATATATATATATATGTGTATATATATATGCTTTTGAGACAAGATTTTATTATGTTGCTCAGTCTAGATTGCAGTGAGTGATCATAGTTCACTTCAGCCTTGAACACCTGGGCTCAAGTGATCCTTCTGTTTCAGCCACTTGAGTAGCAGGGACTAAAGGTATGTGCCACCATGCCCAGCTAATTTTTAAGATTTTTTTGTAGAGATGTGGTCTTGCTATGTTACCCATGCTAGTCTTGAATTCCTGGCTTCAAATATCTTCCCACCTGGGCCTCCTGCCTCAGCCTCCTGAATAGCTAGGACTACAGAGAAAGATCACCACTCTCAACTGTTTTTTTCTTTTTTCTTTCTTCCATTTTTTTTTTTTTTTTTTTTTTTTTTTTTTTTTTTTTTTTTTTTTTTTTTTAGTAGAGACAATGTCTTGCCATGTTGCCCAGGCTGGCTTCAAGCAATCCTCCAACCTTGGTCCCTTAAAGCTCTGGGATTACAGATGTGAGCCAATGCACCTTGTGAGGAATGTCTCTTAAACTATTCCATAAGCTATTAAAGGATATATAGATGCTAAACATTATTATTATTCGTAGGTTATTCTTATCTATGCATCCACACCATAAGAAAAATAGCTTAGAGTGTTTATTCCACATACTAATTTTGTGTATTTTGTTATTTGTTATTTTGAGAATCATGCTGTATCTTGAAAATCATGAGTTACAATGAAACAGGCAATTTGATAAAATAGAAAAAACACTGGCTCTGTGTAAAAAGGACTTGCATTTTATTCTTGGCTTTACTAAATACCAGCATGGGCTTTGGCATGTTTCTTACTTTTTGTTTATATTCTAATTTGTGAAATAAAGAAAATTATGTCTTTTTAACGAAATAATTATCAAACTAGTTTTTGCTAAGATGTTGTTAAAAATTCAAATAGTCTGTTTAAAGGTTGTGAAACATACTAAGGCTGAAATAAGTAAGAACTAACTTATCCTACTATGTTATTGCTTTCTCCCATGCCCCTAACGTCCTTTCTATTTTACTCAGCTTAAATTATATCATCAAACATTTACATCTCTCTCTACATATATATACATGTGTGTATGTATATATACATACACACACATACATAAACATGTATGCACATATAGTGTATACACATATATATACACACACACACTATATATATATACACACACTATATATATACATATATCTACATATATATACAGTTCTCTTGGTTGGTTCTCTTTTACTTTCAAAAACTAGTCAAAATTAAAATTCTAACTAACATACATTTTCCATCTATTCTACATGTATGCAACTGATTGAGGCTAGAAAAATAAATATACTATGTACGCTGTGCTCATTTTAAATTCATGACAACAAACTTCAAGAAGGCATTTAATGTGGCTGGAAAATCATACTGTTTCCCAAGTCCTCTTTTACATTTTTCTATGGAGGTATTCTATATAACCTTCCTGACACCATATTCTCTATCCTCAGTCTCAGCAAATGCTCTTGCTTTATACTTCTATTCACTGCTACTTGTCTTGTTGTTAACTATTTATGCACCTGTTTACAATAGCCCCTTCTTTGTGTATTAATTTCCACTATCTCTTACTCAAAGATATGGTTACAACGTTTCTTTCCCCACCCACCAAGATCCTCATTGCCTCCCTGTGTAAGAATTATTTTCATCAATGTACAAATATCAAATGGGAGTGATAAACTGCAGTAAATGCTACTGAAAGCTAAAGTAAGATAAGGATGTACAAATATTCTATTTCTGCTTTTATTTAAAAAGTCCTTCTTGAACCTATTTACTCTTTAGGTATTTTCTCATTTATTTGTTGCACTTCACAGCAAATTTCTGAAAATAATTTTTCATGTTTCATGTCTCTAACTACCCTTGTCCCCTTTTCTCTTAAAATTACCCTAACTAACATTTTGCTCCCTTTACGTTATTGAAATCACTCATCACAATCACCAAGGCTCTCATGTTAAATTCAATAGTCAAAAAATTTAATCCTTATCTTACTTTAGTTTTCAGTAGCATTTGCTGCAGTTTATCACTCCCATTTAAAAATGAGAGTAATTTAGCACTAGTTGGCTATAGTTTTATCATCTGGTCTGAGATTCTATAATCTCTTTATTTTTCTTTTATGTAATTGGTCCCCTCTTTTTAGTCCCTTTTGCTTCAAACTCTCCAAACATCAGTATATTAGTCTGTTTTCACACTGGTATAAGGAACTCCCCGAGACTAGGTAAATTTTAAAGAAAAAAGATTTAATTGACTCAAAGTTCTGCATGGCTGGGGAGGCCCCAGGAAACTTACAATCATGGTGGAAGGGGAAGCTGACATCTTCTTTACAAGTTGGCAGGAGAGTGAGCGAGAGAGCGGGAAAAAACTACCATTCATAAAACCATCAGATCTTGTGAGAACTCACTCACTGTAAGGAAAACCACATGGAGGAAACCACCCCCATAATCCAATCACTTCCCTCCCTCGTCACATGGGGATCACTGGTCCTTCCCTCAACACGTGAGGTTTACAATTCAAGATGAGATTTGGGGGGTGGGGACACAGAGCCAAACAATATCAGAGTGCCCTAAGATTCAATCCCTGAACATTTATTCACCACCTTCATTATTAATTTAATGAATTCATTCTTTATTATTTAATGCCTTATGGCTTTAAACAACAGTTCTCAAACCTCAACTTTCATATTTGTACCTCCCACCTGAATTACAAACTCTCCCCTGAATTCCAAACACTTATATCTAACTTCACATCTCCTGCTTAAGATCCTCAAATGACTTTCAAACTCAACATATGCCAAAGAAAATTTCTGAACTTCCTGTTCAAACTTTCACTACTTACATATTCTCTAATTCAGTGCCAAATTCACACTACAATTTCCTGTGGTGCCAATTCTTGGATTCATTATTTTTCTCTTATTCTCTCACAGTTTTATTTTCAACCCCTCAGGAATCCCATTGACTCTACTTCAAGAATCTAATCACCATTCATTAGCTGCCTTGCTTCCACTCCAGTTTAAGTTATCTTTCATATGAAACATTATATATCAACCTGAATACGTAGTTTACTGTTGGTATGGAGCCTGGGTCATCTTATTAAATATATGTCAAATTGTATTATTCTCTGTTCAAAAGCATGTAGCTCTTTATTTCTTCAGTAGTTATTTCTCTGAGGATAAAAGCCAAATACTTAAAATTAGTCAATAAAGCCCTAAACAGTATGATACCTCATCCAATTTCCTTTCCTCTTCATGCCTCCCCACTATCTCTGTCCCAGCTACCTCCTTGATTTTTAAACATGCCAGAAATGCTCCCTCTGCCTGGAGAATTGCTGCTATCAGCACTGCTCACTCCTTTACTTCCTTCAGGTAGTAGAGGAAATTTTATTTTCTCAATAATGCCTACCTAGATTATATTAACAAAATTTCAAACCTCTCTCAACTCCCTGGAACACTCCCAAACCTCTTCAGATTATTTTCTTTTCCATAGCACTTACAGTTTCTCACATACATAATTTATTTACTATATTTATTGTTTATTTTATATATTCTCCCACTAGAGTGTAAGTTTCACATACACAGATTTTCTTTTAGTTATTTTGTTCGCTCATGCCTAGACCTGTATCTAGTAAGTGTTTAACACATATTTATTAAGTTAATGAATCATTGACATGACTGTTATTACAGTTGAGAGAACAGACACAGAAAAAATAATTAACTTTCCCGTGATAATTCCAATAGTATGTAACACATATGGGATTGTGATTGCAAGCAATTATGTTACTACATCTCATGTCGTTAACTACTTCACTATATTTGTAAGTAAAATGTAAGTGTTTGTAAGTGAAGTATTTATTACTTATTTATTATTTATAAGATTATTACTTACAAATTTCAATCATTTGCATCTATGCTCTGCTACATCGTCATCTCACACTATTACACTAAGCACCTGATTTTCTCCATCTGCTCCAAATAATAAAACCTGTAAGAGTATATTTGGGGATTGAATATAAGTGATGACATATTCTTTGAACAAATATTAATAACACTGTTTATCTACATCGCAACCAGGCAGCTTGTATCTGTAAGTAAGATTACTTTTGCATATCAAGAATTTTATGTGTTTCTGAGTCCTTGAATCCTCATTATACTTCAGCAATCTCTGTCTAATATAAGAATATATCATTTATCCTATAATGTGAAGTTCTACACATCTTTTAAAACCATCCTAAATGCCAGTTGTTTAAAGTCTTTCTTACTTGTCGCAACTGGAAACAGTCCCTCTCATTGTTGAAGTCCCCTAACACTTTTATTTATTGAAAGACTATTTTTATTTGCATTGCATTTAATTTTAAAAAGTGTGTCTGTATACCCATAGCAGATCATCAGTCATTTGATAGCAGATGTTTATTTTTGTTCCCCACGGCACCTAATATTATATTTAATTTAAATTAGGACTTTAATAAATATTTGTTGAATTGATTGCATTTAGAAAAGAAATAAGCTCTAATTGTGTGGTAAATTAAGAAAAATGAGCTTCTTTATTTTTAAAATGATTATCATGGTCATCTGTTCTCTGCAATATACCCCTCAACCAATTAAGAAGCAAGCCTATGTAACTGAGCAATTCTACATGGAGCAAGTACTGGATCTAATCAAATATTTGAAGGAAGATTTTTGTCCTGCTTGTTATGAGAAGAGAATCATAAATGAGCCATAGGATGCCCTGGGCTTTATATCAGAATCTCAGTGTTTTTTTTTTTTTTTTTTCGGTTGTTTTAGAGAAGCTTGAGAAATCTCTCCCTTGGTCGGAAATCTTTAAAATCACCTGTACCTTTGCAGTTTTTACACCATGCATAAGATAGGATTTTTCAGGGACAAATAACATTCTAAATTCATTAAGCTCGGAAGTAGTTTAATTCTTCTTTTTAGAATTATTAAAGTCTTATATGTTTTTTAAAGCTAATTTTTAAACTTTAGCAGTCAAATAAAATTTTGAAGTCTTAATAACATACTGCTTTATTTGCTGTATTATTAGCTTTATGATTGTGTGTGTGGGGGGGGGTGTGCATGTGCTTGTGTGTGGGAGTGAAAGACTGTTCTTCAGGCCTGCATTAGAAAATTCTGCTTAGACTATTACTTTTAAAGTGCTCAAGTACATTCCTCACAAAAATTTAATGGAAAAATTACTGTGAATTTGAATACATATTTTCAACTACAAAAGTGATACATTATCATTTTAACCAAAAATTTTCCATAAGCATTTAGATGCCAACTATAGTAAGCATTTATTTTTGTCTGATATTCTCAAATCTGAATGTCACAAAAATGGGAGTGTTGTATGTTTTCTGTTATACCTTTTATTTTGAGGACATATGTGATCAGAATTCTAAAACACTCCTGAAGTGAACAAAATACAATTATGAAATAGAGAATTAAATGCAAGAAAATGTAAACTGTTATTCTCAATGATAAGATTCTTCAAATTCAAATGATATGCTGAGTTTAAAGAATATTCCCATCATTCATTTCCTATTCCAAATTTCAGATGCCATTTCATCTCTGCATGCATCTTCTAAGCAGCTTTTGGCTTCCCTATTTCTTTGAGTTAGAATTATATATTTTCAAAACATAAAGTCTTTTTAGAACTGAAAGCAATGCCAATTTAAAATTTTTTACCAGAGCTAAATGAAAACAAGGAACTTTATACTCTGCATGATACAGTAAATTTTGAAAGTGTTATATAAGCTAGTGATGAGTGTGAAGATGCAACGGGACATTGTCCAAGGTACTACTAGCTTTACATTTTATTAATGTCTGTACCCTAGAAGTGACATATTTTTGTCTGAAAAAATACATTATTTGCCAAGTTATTGTCTATATATGATTTTCAGGTAAGTCGCTACTAGTGATTGTGATTAAAATATAAAATACTTCTAAAATGATTAAATACTTTTATAAAATACTTTTAAAATGATTAAAAATATAAATACTTTTAAAATGAAAGAGAAATTATGGTTAGCCTTAAAATTTAAATAATAGCTGTGTTTATTTTCTTCTACTGTAATCAATACATTATTGTCTCATTGTTTCTCCTCTGATTCTTCCTCCTTGTTTAGTAAATAAGTAGGATTTCTTAATCACAATGTCAATGCAAACTCTACACAAATTCCATGCCACAGGAATTTGACTTTATGCCTGTATAAATAAATTACTTAAGTTCTTTCTATCTACGGAGATCCAGTTAACATTCCATTATGATTTTAATTTTATAAACTAAAGTGTTCTTATGCCTCATCAGCTTTTATTAACATTTCTTATGTCTTCTGTTTTTCTCTACTCTAGTGTCTGTGGCCTTGTTATTTATCATGACAATGTTAATATTCAGGCTTAATTTGGCTTCTACAACAACAATCCCTCTCAGCCTGCATTTGTGTCTTCAAAAATTTTTGTACACTTTCCACAGGCATATAAAAAGGAATGTATATCATATTAACCAAACCAATAGTAAAGGTCACTATAAGCATCATATTTCTTAAAATGCCTTTGACTTTTGCAAACATTGAAAATTTTTACTTTTTTAAAAATAGCAATTTCTGATGAAGGTTTAAAGTTTTTTTAAGTAAACATTAATTTACTGATAGAAATAAATTTTAGAGCTCTTGAAGTCATTTTCGTGTACAGGGAATACTCTGCACAACCAGTAGAAGCATTTATACAAGTATTGCAATGATATTTGGAACAGAACAGGGACTAGAATAGCTTCCCAGTGTTAAAAAATAAAAGTATTTTTCTAAGGCTTGTTTACATTCAAACTAAGAATTTTAAGATATAACACCAATGACGTATTGTATTAGCCCATTCTCATGCTGCTGTGAAGAAATAGCTGAGGCTGGATAATTTATAAAAGAAAGAGGTTTAATTGACTCACAATTCCACATAGCTGGGGAGGTCTTAGGAAAGTTACAATCATGGCAGAAGGAAAAGAAAACACATCCTTCTTCTCATGGTGACAGAAGAGAGAAATACCGAGCAAAGAGGGAAAAGCCCCTTATAAAACCATCAGATCTCGTGAGAACTCACTATCATGAGAACAGCATGTGGGTAACCACCTCCATTATTCAATTACCTTCCACCAGGTCCCTCCCACAACATGTGGGGAATATGGGAACTACAATTCAAGATGAGATTTGGGTGGGGACACAGCCAAACCATATCATTTATGTATACAGGTATTTCTATTCAAACATATAACTTCACATACAAAAAAATGACACCATATTTGAAACTATGGTTTTTTTAAGGCATTGGATATCAAATAGTAGGGGACAGTGATGCCTGAGACAGGGAAACATCCAATGTGAGCCCTATAATAAAAGGGTCTTTTGGCCTTTAAAAGTTATAATGCAGAGAAGAGAAACTCAGGTAGAGTGTATTAGATTCCATTAGTTGAGGAGACATAGCTGAGAGTCCAGAGAAATTAATACAGCTAGATAGAGTGCCAGACAGGAGAAAGCACTTCTCAAAACAAGGTCCTAGAGAGGTGAAAGCTATAAAGTTATAGAATGCTGGAGGTCTGAAGAAGGTTACCCATGAGTAAACAGAAGACTGCTCAATTGTACAAACACAAGAGAAAATAATTCATAACCAGGTAAAGAAGAAACACAAAAGGAATAGAGACTTGGACTCACATAAGACTGAGAATGTAGCTATTCTCACCAGCTAAAGTGGAAAAACTAATAATTATTGGGGTGTTTGGTGGAACACTCAGGAAGGTTTTGCCTTAATAGTAAGAAATAATTACCCTAGAATGAGGGCTGCTCTGGTCTCATCTGGCAAATCCTAAAGAGAAAGACCTGAAAATTTCAAGCTGCTTCCAATTAAGTTAGCTGTATAAAGAACAAAGCGCAAGCCAATTTATAGAGATACAAATATATCCAGTACGGAATATGGTAAAATTTACAATGTCAAACATCCAATTAAAATTACTAGGTATCCATAAAAGCAGGAAAGCATAATTCATAATGAAAGGATAATCAATCAATTGAAATTGCCACAGCTAATATCAGAATTAGCAGAAAAGACCACTAAAACCATCATTAGAACCGGACTCCTCCATCTGTAAAAAAAAGTAAAGCAGAGATATAGAAGATATTTTAAAAGACTCATATTAAGTTACAGAAATTAAAATTACAATTCATGAGACTGAAAATACATAGGAGGGGATTAATAGAAGATTTGAAACTATAGATTATTAAATAAATATACAGCAATAAAAAACACCCAAAATAAAAGAGAAAAAAAGTTGAATTTCAAAAAGTGAAAATAACATCTTTTAAGTTTGGAAAACTTTAAATGGGCTAATACATGCATAAATATAATACCAGGAGCAAATAAAAAAGAAGAAAAACCAATATTTAAATAAGAGCCAAAAATTTCCAATTTTGATTAAAGCTAAAAACCTAGAAGTGTAGAAAGTTTACAAAACCCAAGCCCTAGAAATGCGAAGAAAACTCCCCCAAGGCATATGATAATCAAGCTGTTTGAAACCAGTGTTAAAGATAACTTTAAAACGATAGAGAAAATAATACATATTAGGTAAATGTAAATACACATAAGGACGACAGGATAATTTTTGAGGAAAATAATGCAAATGATGTAGGATGTGGGAGAAAAATATTTTAAATTCCGGAAAACATAAAGTAAAGGAAGTGTTAACTTATAATTCTATGCCAAGAAAAAATACATCTATTTCAAAAAGAAGTAAAAATAGAGATATTTTTCAGATAACAAAACCTGAAATAATTCATCACCAAAGGTTCACATTATAAGGAACGTTAAAGGGGTTTTGTGCAGTGGCTCATGTCTGTAATCCCAACACTTTGGGAGGCTGAGGCAGGAGGATCGCTTGAGGCCAGGAGTTTGAGGTTAGAATGAGCTATGACTGTACGATTACATTCTAGCCTGGGTGATGGAGCAACATCATTTATTTAAAAAAAAAAAAAAAAGAGAGAGAGAAATAAATGTTAAAGGACACTTTTTTTTTTTCCCTGAGATGGAGTCTGGCTCTGTCACCCAGGCTAGAGTGCAATGGTGCAATCTCGGCTCACTGCAAGCTCTGCCTCCTGGGTTCACGCCATTCTCCTGACTCAGCCTCCTGAGTAGCTGGGACTACAGGTGCCCACCACCACTCCCGGCTAATTTTTTGTATTTTTAGTAGAGAGGGGGTTTCACCGTGTTAGCCAGGATGGTCTCAATCTCCTGACCTCGTGATCCACCCACCTTGGCCTCCCAAAGTGCTGGGATTACAGGCATGAGCCACCGCGCCCAGCCTAAAGGACATTCTTGAGGCAGAAGATGAATCTGCATGAAGGAATGTGGAGCACAGAAAATAGTAGCTACATAGACAATTTCATAAGAGTCTTACTATTTCAATCTCCTAAAATATATTGACTATTTAAATAAAAATACTAAGACTGTGTTATCATAGGTGTATGTAAAAGATATGACAAAATAGCATAAATTGTGGAAGAAACAATAGTAAAATATTATTTTTAAGCTTTGTGTTCTATATGTTAAGGGGTATAATATCACTTTAAGATAGTCTCTGATAGATTAAAAATGTGTAAGCTTTAAAGCAGCAAAGAAGGTTGAATAATGTAATGTTAGAAGCATACAACCTGTTATTGTCAACTTAGCAGCTGGAGAAAGAGGTCCAGGTATCAAGGAATGTGTGCAGCCACTACAAAGTGGAAAGGGAAAGAAAACAGATTCTGTCCCATAGCTTCCAGGAAGAAATACAACCCTGCTGACATCTAGATCTTAGCCCAGTGAGACCCATGTTAAAATTCTGACCTACATAATTGCTATGATAATATTTTGTTTTATTGTTTAAGTCACTGTGGTAATATGTTACAACATAATAGAAAACGAATATGTATCATGAATAAGAAAGAAAGTAGATGAAATAAAATCATGAAAAATAATTTATCCAAAAGTAGGCTTAAAATGAAGAAAGGGAGATGAAAAACAAGATGAACAAATAGCAAACAAGTAGAAAAGATAATACAGTTAAACCTAACCATACTAATAATTACATCAAATGTAAATGGTCTTAATGCTCCAATGAAAGGCAGATACTGCATGAAAAACTACATATATATATATATATGTATGTATTTCTGTGTACATATACATATATGTGTATATATACATATATTCGAAGTATACTTCTTTTAGGAAGTATGTGTGTGTGTTCACGCACACACTTCCTATATATTATATATGAATATATATATGTGTGTGTATATATATTACAATTAAACAGGTGGAAAAAGACATACCATGCTAACACTAAGTAGGTAATTTCATAATGAAAAAGGGGTTAAATAATCAAGGATACATGAGACACCAAGATATATATTCCCTTAATTATGGAAGTTCAACAGATATGAAGAAAAACTGATAGAACTGCATGGACACATAGATGAATCCATAATTGTAGTGAAAATTTCAATAATCCTGTCTCAATAATCGATAGAACTAGTAGAACTAGCAGAATAAAGGTAGAATGGATATACAGTAGTTTTTCCTTATTCATGGTGAAAACATTCCAAGACCCTTAGTGTGTGCCTGAAACCTCATTACCAAATGCTATATATATGTTTTCTTCCACACATACACACCTGTGATAAAGTTTAATTTAAAAATTAGGCATAGTAAGAGATTAACAACACTAACTAATAATAAAATAGAACAAATATGAAAATATGCCAGCATCACTGCTCTTGTGCCTTGGAAACACTGTTAAGTAAAATAAGGGTTACTTAATCACCAGCACTGATATACCACAACTGTTGATCTGATAATTGAGACGATTGCTAGGTGACTAATGGGGCAGGTAGCATATACAGTGTGGATACGCTGGGCAAAGTGATGGGCAGGAAGGAGTAGGACAGAGTGGGACAAAGCAGAACAGTCCAAGATTTCATCATACTACTCAGAATGGCAAGCAATTTAAAACTTATGAATGGTTTGTATCTGGAATTTTCCATTTAATATTTTGGGACAACTATTGATTACAGGTAACTGCAACCTCTAGAAACAAAACTGTGGATAAAAGGGGACTACTATAGTTGACTTGAACAATACCATCTGCCAACTTTGCATACATGATATTTATAAAATATTGTAACTAACAATAGCAGGATAGATAATTTGTTTCAAAGTACATGTAACATTTATCAATTTAGACTGTATTCAGGGGCTTAAAACAAGACCCAGAAAGTATTTAAGTAATACCATATCAATTTAGACCATATTCTGGGATTTAAAACAAGTCCTAGAAAGTATTTACATCATGGTTCTCTGACCATAAATTAGCAACCTATTTGCTGTATAAATAAACAAACTCTAATTTTAGTGGCTTATCTAACAACTTTTATTATCTTATAGTTTTTGTATCCAGAATGTTAGAACCTCTCAAAAACTGTGATCAAGATGTTACCTAGGATTGCAGTCATTACAAGAGTAGATTGAGGAAGGATCTGCTTTCAGAATTTTTCATGAGGTTGTTAGCAGGATTTTCAGATTTTCTAGAAACTGCAAATTAGTATGGAAACAAAAAATACCTAGAATAGACAAGACAACTTTAAAAAAAAGCAAATCAAATTAATGCTACTTTATTTATAGATTTATTATAGAGCTGCCTTAATAAAATTACTGTCATATTGGAATTAAGATTAAAATATACATCAATGCAACAGAATAAAAAATCAGAAATACACTCATATAAAGACAAAGTTTTTCGAGAAAGGGACAAATGCAATTTAGTAGAGAAGTGATAATCTTTGCAACAAATGGTGCTGGGACAATTGGATATCCATATTCAAAAAAACATGAAACACTAGATTAGATTCAGGAATGATGCTAGGAAACTGAGGATATGTGTTTATAAACTCAGGGTTTGCATTTATGAATCATCTTTAGCTTAACCATTCTGTGAAATTAGTAGTCTGTCTTTGAGTTCGTGTTCAGGATTTGGTCTGCTCTAATTTGAAAGCTGTCTAGTTTCTTACTCTACTTACGCCTAAGAGGTCTTTTCTCAGTTTATAAATATCTAACTGTAGCAATCACTATATTAATACTTTATAACTAAATCTGTATCCATTAAATTATGCTTTTCATTGTCATATTTGATTTTAATCTATTTATAGCATAAATAGTCACTGAAAATTAAATAATCTTATAACTTTGGACTATCTCCTTTTGATAACCCTTATTATTTATTTTTTTGAAATAATAAGAAAAGGAACTCATAGAACACTATGGGGCAATATGTAATTTAATGTTAGTTATTCTCTTAATTAAAATTACTTAATTGGAAATTTCCCTAGTTGAAAATAAAACCTTAATTTTGACTAATTTCTAACATTAGGCACATATTTTTTGACAGTTTGTTAAACTCTCAAGTTTTCTGCCTTTCATAATATATCATAAGGGAACGTCTTTTGTTAAAAACGATCCATTGCATTTTTTAAAATAACTGTGGTTTAGATATGACAGTGGTCAATATTTTGCCCTGCAAATACATCGTAAATAAAAATTTGGTCTATGGAATTCTAGACTATCTATTCTAAAATGTTTTCATTTTAGAAAAGGCCAAGTTGGTCATTATAGCAACAAATAATCTGGTCCTATTACTTAGATGTAAACATCTGTTTTGACTTTACTGTCATAAACATCCTGAGTTCGAACTAATATTTTCTTTTAAGATAAAAAGAATAGTTTGCTTTGAGAATAAAGAATGGAAATAGAAAGGGAATTTAGTCATTTCAAATGCAAATTTACATGCATGTCATCCTCATTTGCATGCATGCAATTCCAAAATGGGTTTATGTAGTTGATGAGGATGTCTAAAAATCATTTGGTATAGAAAAGCATCTGCTGAACATACATAGGAATATTATTCAACTTGAACAAAAATGTACTATATGCATCAAACTGACATTAGAGAGGCTGTAAAACAACAAATAATAAAACATTATCAAAGGAATTGTGTTTGAGGATGCTTTCAATGATAAATGTAGCCTTGTAAAATCATTTTACTCATCTGTTTTGTTCTAAATTTGCATATATCCCATATATTTTACTTTTCTTTCTATATTCCATTTTTTAAAAATTAGAAATAACAGAAAATCAGGTTTTTAAGCTGTTTTGGCAAAATTATGTTTTGTATTTTTGATATGGTCTTTAACTCTTTATTCTTTACATCTATTAATATATATCTTCTTATGTGCTGTTACATGTTCTATAAAATGTTTGCTTTTTTTTAACCAGCACATAGCAATGTCAACGTGTTCAAATCCACAATATAGTGTTACATATAAAAAAACAAGAAATAAATTTCAGAAAACAAATAAGCAAACAAACAAAATAGCCAATGATCCTGGAAAACAGGTTATTTCTGTGTGGTAGTATTACTACGCTAAAACATATTTTAAAATTATAGCCCAAGTTATTCAAAATGAACATATCTTTATTTTATCACAGATAGAAAAATATGTCTGATTTTTAATTTTTTCTTCTGCTTGGGTTATTTATAATTTAGTACGGATAATTTGTGTAAATGCTTTTAATAGGCAATCTGTGTACACACAGTTAACCCTTAGGACTTTTAATTTAAGTTAACCCTTAGGACACACAGCTGGAAAAGACACACACACATACACATACACTCTAAGCTGAGTAATAAGAATCCTATTTACCATAAATTTTTACAAAAAGAAGATATCGTTGATACCAGTATTGGTTTAAGAAAAAAGTCACAGAAAAAAGGAAACTCACTTTATAACTCGTTCTCAATTGCAGGCAAATATTGCTCTGTTCTTCTACCTGGAACAGTACGGTTAAACAGAGCATTAGGCTGAGACAGAACATTTTATTTTTAACTGTGTGCTATGTTATTTATGTGGATGTCAGTGTGGTGGACCACCCATATTCTTCTTCAACGAAGAACTAGTCACCCTAACTGGTATCTCTCCCTAGTAGGGATTGATTCACCCTTAGCAGAGGGTTGCCTACCTGAGACCACACTTTTTCTGGGTTGCCCATATTTAACAACAGATCAACTAGTCAATCCCAATGTGGAACAGTGCTGAGAAGACATATTCATGCCAGAGTTTTTCCTGGGGTTGGCCAAAGTTTGTTGGGACTGCACCAGTTTGATCTCTCCCTCTGTCCAAAGTTGTTTATTCTTTCACCCATCAACAGGCGTAATCTCTAATTAATACTCAGCTCAACAAACTATGTCTCAGCTTCTGCTTCCTCAGAAACAAACTAGTGACAGTAGTTCCCAGAAATGGTGCAAGAAAAAAAGGGGGTTAGATAGAGTTTTATAGTTGGATCTCTCGCCATCCTACTAGTAATGAGGAACCATCATTGGTGCAGAGTGGAGTACAGAGAGCCCTTGACGCAAGGTGTTTGTCTTGTTAAAGTCACACAGGTAGGGAATTGGCAGAATATAACAGTGATTAGGAATGTTAGCTGGGGCCATGTGTCAGACATTTGAAAGACAGAAGATAAATAATAACTATAGAGACAATGGAAGGGGATGGCTATTGCTAAGCACCACTGATACCCTGAAGAAAGGTAGTGAAAAAACAAAGGAGATTAGTCGATAATTGAAAAACAAATATGAAAGCCAGAGGACCCCCTTGGCAGCATGTAAAGTGACTTTCTTCCTGCAGCTAGAGGGCAGGCAAAGCTGAGGACAGGCTAAGGGCTTAATAAAATGGATGAGGTCCGGAAAGATTAAAAACCCAAACAAATCAGTTTTTCAATGCCAAAGTCAGAGCCATTGTCAGGGAATTATGAAAGCCCCACTTTGGCACATGCTCCCCTAATGTTAAATTCTTAGATGTAACTGCAAATCCTGAACCTGCAGGAGTTGTCCAGCCCTTCCTACTAAGCTAACACTCCCCTCAATGCAGAGGCTCATTTTCTGCAAGATCACTGTTCCAAACAGTTTGGCAGCTCCCCAAAAATGTGAAACAAAATGTTAAAGGTAAAGTTAACATATGACTCACCAATTAGCCCTGGGTATAATCCCAATAGAACTGAAAACATATGCTCACACAAAATTTGTACACTAATGTCACAGCAACATTATTCATAGTAGCCAAAAAACTAGAAACAATCCAAATGCCCAATGGATGGAAATAAAAAATACCCAGGGGTGAAGGGATTTTTTTAAAAATTAATGTATACAAGGAACTATCCATCCAGTGGAGTAAAAACAAATGAATTACTGATGTATGCTACAACGGGGATGAACCTTGAGAACATTAATTGGGCTAAGTGAAAAAACCCAGTCACAAAAGACAACAGATTAAATAATTCTATTTGTATGAACTGTCCAGGAAAACCTTAGAGAAAGAAGTTATGTTAGTGTTTGCCTATGACTGGGAAGGAGTTGTAGTGGAAAGGAATGGGGATTTACAACAAATGTGCTAATGGATATGGAGAGGGGTGATGATATGATAAAATATTCTAAAGTTAGATTTTCATGGTTGCTGCATAATTCCGTGTAGGTACTAAAAGTTCTTGAATTGTGCGTGGTGAATTTATGGTATATGAATTATATCAAAGATGTTTTAAAAAGTTGGATAGAGAGTTCATATATAATCTTCACTAAGCTTCCCCCATATGAATTTCCTTGTGTCAACCAGTAACAAAAAGTCAGAATTATATAATATTATAACAAAAATTACAGACATTATTTTCAAAAGTACTTTTTCAATTCTAAGAACCAATTCAGGATTTCACATTGGATTTTGTTGTCATGTTTATACTTAGTCTCCTCAAAACTACTGGGTTTTCCTTAACTTAAATACTTTAGTTTAAGAAGCTGTTTACTAAGCATAGCCCACAATCAAAGGTAAGGTAATTAAGTTCCCTCTCCTTGACAGATAATTTGTGATAACTTTAAAAAATTACCTGAGTATACTTAGGAGGCTGAGGCAGGAGAATCACTTGAACCTGGGAGGCAGAGGTTGCAGTGAGCCAAGATCACGCCATTTCACTCCAGGCTGCGCAACAAGAGCAAAACTCTGTCTCAAAAAAAAAAAAAAAAAAATACCAGAGTAAGAAATTTGAAAAAAATCTACGTGGAATGCAAATATCTAGTCTCTCTTTTAAATCTTTTCACTAAATTTATTATTAAAACATATTAAACTTATATTAAATAAATATGTATGCTTTTGTTAATCTTTTTTTTATTATAAGGTGGCTCAGCCATGATTCATGATTCTAGTGATGAATGAGGGAAAACAACTCTTTCCCTCCCTATGAAAAAAGAACCATTTCAGTCTTATATATTTTGAATATTTGTAACTTTTTCTCTGGCCATGACTCATTGTGTTCCCATAATCTACAAGTAATTTGCTTATTTGTTCAACCCCAGTACATAGGTAAAGTAGTTTCAGAATAGGATGTTGTTTATGCACAGATATTTTTGCGTTTTGCCTTAAAATGTCTAGTTAAAACAATCTTTACCTAAGTTATTTAGGTGAGTTCCTTTCCCACTTTCCATTCAGTGATGTTGTCATATATAGGTAATACAGCTGAATTAAGTTTTGACAGTGCACATTCAATGCAGAAATCTCTAATATCCTAGATGATGTTTTGAAAATCAGTATTCAGTCAAGTCATTCCTTGTAGTGTTACAGTTCTATGGGTTTTGACAAATACAGAGTCTTGTATCCACTAATCCAGTACCATATACTACAGTTCTACCACCCACAATTTCCTATGGAAGCTCCTCTGCAGTCAGCCCCTCTTCTTTCTCCTCCTCGAACCCCTATAGTTTTCCATTTTTTTTTCAATATGATGAGAAAAATAAATGTCCATGCTTATTTCACTGTAATTTCTGTAGGTTGTATGAACTTCAGGAAAGTAGTCAGTCCTTCTGTGGAAACTTTTATATAAGACTTTTCCATCTTTTCTTAGATTTTGGACCATGAAGGAATGTGATTGGTGAGAAAAAGAAAACTAGCAACTTAATAATAACATTGCTTTGCATTTGATCCATTTATAAACAGAAGACAATCTGAAGTAATATTTAGTCGTATACTAGGGTTATTGAGGTCATATCATGTATGAAGGCTAACATCTAGAATACAAAGACGATTTTTATTTGTAATTTAATCAGTTGAGTTTCTCTTTATCTTTTTACTAAAAACTATGAAATGTAAATAAAGCTATCTTCAATAAATATTCAATAAGTGCATTGCAGTAGAAAAAGGAACAAGTAAATATTCCTTTTTTGAATCCAAACTACATACTTTGCTTTACCAAATAACTTATGTATTTTGAAGAATTTCTCTTTCAAGGAAAATTTTAAATTTGGAGTGTTTTAATAAAGACTTACTGTTGAATATCTGCAGGTGAATACAAATATGAAAAAATACTGTCACATTTTTATATGTAATTAAACAAATTCCCTAAAGATATAACAATAGTTACACAGTGTAATAATTTCCTATTGATGCTGTAACAAATTACCACAAACACAGTGACTTTGAACAAATTTATTATCTTACAAATCTGAACATCAGAAGTTCAAAATCCATCTCATCGGGCTAAAACCAAGATGTCAGCAGGGGTGCTTGCTTCTGAAGACTCCTGGGAAGTATCCTTTGCCTGCTTTTGCCAGCTTCTAGACACCATCTGAAATCCTTGACTGGTGGCCCTTTCCTCAGTCATCAAATCCTACAGCATAGCATCATCCCATCTCTCTCCCACTCTGCTTCCATTGTCACTGGTTCCCTGTCTTCAACTCTCCTGCCATCCTCTTATGAGAGCACTTATGGTTACATTGAGCCCACTGGATAATCTCCTCATCTAGAGATATTTTATTTAATAACATCTGCAAAATCTATTTTGCCATGAAGGTACGATATTCACAGGTTCTAGAGACTGAAATATGGGCATCTTTGTGGGACCACTGTTCAGCCTACCACACATAGATTAACAATTTAATTTAGAGAACTCAGCAAGGGATGAGGATGCACTAAAGGAGAGTATTTAGATAAATCTATTTTTTGCCTGGAAAAAAATTTCATAAGTGACGTTTTCTTTATTAAAGAAAAGTTAAGTGGTATTATATATGTATGTGTGTATGTGTGTAAACTGACAAAGGTTGCTTTATCAATATTAGCTTAGACTACATTCATCCAATGTTGGAAAGCCCCACAGTTCTAAAAGCTTTATAAGTGAGAGCAAATGAAATGAAACCAGTGTATATTTAATTTTATTCTGTTGGAAAGTAAAAATCTGTGTTTGAATTTGGGAGGTGGGAGAGGTAGAGGATGTGAGAAGCAGGTGGAATGTCAAGAAAATATATTGATTAAGGTTTAAAATTGCATGTGTAATATTTAGAATATTCTAGAACACACTTGACATCTATGCTTCTTGATTCTATATATGCAGACACCTGCCTACACTGTGAAAATAGTGAGCATCTTTAAATTGGGAAAGCGTAGAGGGGCTAATTCTCTCCTAATTTGAAATGTCCATATTTTCAGTTTCTTAGAATATGGAAGGTAGACTCTCCAATGGTATCTTCAATTAAAATTTCTATATATCAAGAATTCTTATATATTTTTATTTCCAGATAACTAAATCTATATTCAATAGAAAGGGCACTAAAGTCAAAATATATCATCGGTTTACCCCAGGATTAGCCCAGGTTTTTCGTTTGGTTTGTTCTAAGTGTTTTATCTGCTTATTTGTCTTTAAGAAGACAGTTTTTTAGTGGAAGAGAATAAGATATTTTTAAAATTTAATAATCTATTTTTTAATCCCTTCAAATGGTAAATATTAAGTTAAATTATTCATTTAAATTTCATTTAAAATTATTCAGAGCATTAATTTAAAACTTTCCTGTTGGTTCCTGTTGTATTAGCTATATTAATTTGAAACTTGTAAAATCTGTATATTCAAAGCTAAAGGCACTGTCATCACAACAAAAATAGATTATTGATATGTTTTCTTAAGATGCCATAATCAGAGCTTCTGTTTGAGTCATAGACTATATATAAATCTCATATCTAGCTATGGCTTTACTTTTCGAGTATTGATTTAATATTTTTTCCTCTGGGCTTTCACATATTGCACATGACCAGTGAAAATTGTCAGTTGTACAACTGGTTATTTATTATTTAATTTGCTTATTATTGTATTTGTTTGTTTGTTTATGTATTAATTATTTTCTACTTTACTCTTTGGCATCTGCATGCTAAAAATGAGTACAGATTTTAAAGCACCTAATATTATAAAAAGATTTAGAGATAAAATAAAATTCACGCTGTAACTATTTTAGAAAAAAAATGCATGTCTGTGAATAACAACCACAACTGCATCAAAACATTAAAAGTAGATAATGACTATAAATCTTTAGAAAAATTGTGTGTTATCAGAAGCTAAGTGAAAGTAAGAATCCAATTTGATCTTCCAAATGTTAAGAGATATATCTTGATTATGACATTTATAAAATAAATATGCATGGTTTTATGTTGCCACTATTTTGAGTTTATATATTTTCATCATGGCTCTTTGTTAACATTTGAACTCTTGTCACAAACAGTACTCTTGGTGGCACTTCAATCAGTATTACTTGGCAATATTTACCCCAGAAGAAAATGTTACAAATTTAATTAAGAGAAAATTTAATGAGAAATGCACCATATACAAGATTTGCATTTTATTTGAAAATATTTTGTAAATTCATTAGATGCTGGACTTGGGCAATATTAAATTAATGCCCATACCTATGCTGCCTCTGCACTCTTCCTCAGTGATTTTCGACATATCTGGGCTTCACAAACCCTCTGTGTAAAGAATTATGGACACAATTATGTCTTTGATCAACATCCTTTCACTCAAAAGCACATACAAAACTACATGATTGAAACCAATGAATGATGAGTGAGTTCAAAATGCATTAAACAAAACATTAATTTCAAATGATCAAAATAGAAATAACATTTAGAGAACTATGCCACTGTGGCTTATTTGTATAAGCTTCCCTTCTAGCTATTACAATTTTCTTATCATAAAAGATGAAAAACATTTCAAATGTGATGTTTTCTGAACACTATTAAAGAATTGATAATATTGTTTCTTGGAATTATTGTTATCCTTAAGATTCCAAAAAGAGGAGTATATTTTCAGGATCTTCAAGAATGTGCCATTTGCAGTGCGTGAATCATTTTGAAATATTTTCTGATCAAGCAAATACCAGAATAAAAAAAAGAGAATTGAATAGTCAATACATACATATAAAAAGTTTTAAATACTTTGTTCTATTTATTATTAAACTGTTAAAAAAGTGTCAGCTTAGGAAATACAATTTTATATTATGGAACTTTCAAAAAAGCAAAGCAAGTATTTGAATATGCATACAAAGAGAAATATTAGCTGGATGAAAAAAAATTCTACTTTCCTTTTTGCTTCTATCTCCAAATCTAAATAGTTATTACTGGAAAATTTTCAGAAGGAATAATTTTAATGAACAAGTCTATCACTTTTTTGATATTTCAAGGATATATAATTCACATGACAGACAATAATTTTCCCCAGAACTTTGATTTCCAAAATTATAAGAAGCTTTTATTTTATTCATCAGTGTTGTCTTTTTAATACAAAAATATATTGACATAATTGTAAGAAAAGAGATATGTTTATATTAGTTCCAAAAAAACCTGTCATTCCTTTTTCAGTCTATAATTATAATTCTAATTTTTTCTTAACCTTTGAAAGTAACTATTCTTTTAAATTTGACAGTCTTAAAAACCGTCTGTTTTAAATTCAAATACTTTAAGTATGAATTAGTAAATTGTGACATATGGAGTGTTTCTATATTATATTATTATCTGATCATCTGAAAATTTATTGGATTTTAATTCTAAAAATAAGAAAAAAGTATATTTAATTGTGAAAAAAATGATTAATATTTGTACTACTATAACCCATGTTGATATATAAGTAAAAGATATCCAACATGGATACTATAAGAAAGTTCAAGTAAGACAGAATGATCTAAAATATCTTAAAAGTAAATTTATATTTCCTACTTTCCAAAAATTATAGCTCCTGTAAACAAAGTTTCTTAGGTATGTTTCTATGTAAAATGAATATACTGCTATAACTACTATATCCACTTATTTTCATAAAAGTAATATGCTATGGTGATTTATTTTCATAGTGTGTTTATGTGTTTAAAATGTATCTTAGGGACAATTTTATACCAGACCTTAAGAATTTATCTCACTGTTTTAAATAGGGGTGGGTACTTAGCCTCTTTTTTTTTAAAACTGATGAAACAAATATCTCTGTACATCTATTTGTTATAATTTTATGAGTGAAATTATAAGTTTATTTTCTAAGTCAAAATTTTTAGAAATTTTAATTTGATGGATATTGTCTTGGGGTATAGTATATCATTTTTCTAAACATTCATGCCCCGCTCCTTAAACTTTTACTAATCCCTGGCCATAGATGACAGGTAAATATAAGAGAAAATAACATACATGTTTTAGTAACTTTCAAGGAAGATGAGGTAAAACTGGGAAGTAGGGAGTGTTGTGTCAGTTTATAAGGGACTGAAGAGGCTGACCTAGTTTGAGTCAGAGAAGATCCCATTATGACATGATATTTAAGCTGAGTCCAAAGGATAAGGAGTAAGGTATAGAATAGCCAAAATGTCACTCTTAAGAGGCTCAAACTGATTGCAGAATCATCTTTCTTATTTATACGCAACTATGAATAATGAATTAACAGTGAATACAACTAGCATACTCTATAATTTTTTCCAAACAAATAACATTTTATAGGCTATAATCTTTTACTTTACCTAATTTTCGATGTCTTTTTAATAAAGATCTATAATTTTAAAAGTACTTTGTAAAATCTGGAATAAATTTTGAATTCCTCAACTAGTGCATAAAGGCATGATGAACGATAAATTTGCTAGCTTGTAAGAAACACACACACACACACACACACACACACACACCCCACACACAAAATGATAGCGAAAACCTGCCTATTCCTTGCTATACTTAAAGTTAATCTTTTAAACTAGAATTATAAACATGTTCAATTTGTGCAAAAGAAAAGGAATAAAAAATATAATTCCTGAGTTTGGGAAATTATAAAACATAAAGTCATTTAGAGAAAATTGGTCCTATAACTAAGATTCATACAGCTATCTGGGCTTGGCAGTTTGTATAATAAAATAAAAATACTTCTTCAAAAATTATGTTTACATTATGTAAGCAAGTTAACACTTGAGAATTACTGAGTTTTATTTTCTGCCATCTTAATATACAGCTGTTATAATGCTTATCCAGAGCTCATTTGAAAGTATTTTTTTAAGGAGCTAGAGCACATTTCTATATGGCTTGCCAGAAGCAGGCAGAGAGGGTCTTATTCCTTTAATTTATGTAATGATTCGCTATTAAATGATTACTAGATTGAAGATAATACCTGGTTATCAAAGATTTCTGAAATTTAACATATTTTGAGCAATTGAAATTGGCAGAATAATGGAGTTAAGAAGAGTGTAGGGTGCTATATAGGAAATTTCAAGAGTATGACCTTGTCATATTAAGTTGTAGATGGTCACAGAACATACAGGAAGATGTCACAGGTAGAAGTATATATAGTGAATTGAATAAAGCAGAATGTGTCATGGTTGGAGATACCCATGACAAAAGAATTGATCATATGATAACTGAAGATTTGGGAAAGGATAAAAACTAGTGGAAAGAAAGTGGAAGAGAACATGAAAAGGTAATAAATAGTAAATATATTCTATAGAGTGAGTGAAACTTAGAAATCAATGGGAAAATTGTTGATATTAACTGGAAAGAGAAAGGAAATTACTTTATGGTGAACAGATATCTAATACAGATATAGCTGATAACGGAGTAAGAAGATGTATTGAGTTTTCCAGTATAAAGAATATAAACATGTGATGAAACAAAGTAGTGACAATTAGGGAAATCTTAAGTAGGTACATCTAAAGAGAGAGAGAGCTTGACAAGAGAACTTGGCAATGTATAAAAAACTTGGGCCAGTTAATTTCATAAGGGCAAAAGCTACCTTATGAGGGCAGTTTTAAATGAGAATACAGGACCAAAAGTAGGTTGTAACAGATCAAGATAAGAATTCAATGACTGAAAGCCTAGGTACTTCTGCAAATTGCCTCTTCAAAGACCACAGATATAAAGAAGATAACAGTGTTTGGAAAGAAAAGACATGCTTTTTTTTTTTTTATGTTTTTTTTTTTTATTATACTCTAAGTTTTAGGGTACATGTGCACATTGTGCAGGTTAGTTACATATGTATACATGTGCCATGCTTTATAGCTGCAAATTCAAGCAAGACTCACAAGGGAAAAAATGAGAATGATAGAAAAAGAAGCTATATGTTTAAGCATAGATGCCATAAAAAGGTAGATTATTTCATTTCTCAAATTTAAAAATGTTGAAAACTTTTCTTAAGAAACCTATTCCCTATGATAGTGTTATTACTACATGCCTGTTTATCCCTAACATGTTTATATTTTCAAGATAATGAAAAGAAAATCCCCATCTATGCCATGCCACACTTATAGATATCAAAAGATAAATAGATATACCAAAACCAGTTATTTTGCATGCTTTGTCCTTTACCTACTTCATCACTTTCTCTATTACGTTTCTGCTTTCTCCCTTCTTTCTTTACATGTCCAGCTCTCCATCATATCCATTAACTTTGGCTCAATTTTCTTCTTGATTTCAAGCCCTGTTATCACTTTAATTACCTTAGGAGACTCTAATACCTAATTGGATTACCAGTCCCAAAGCCTTCCCTTTCAATCTCTTCACCATCTTATTTGAAGTGACCCTCCTTTCTCTACTTTAATAACCCATGCCCACAGTCAAAATATAGGTCACAATTGGGAAAGCTCTGACCACCATTTTACTTTCCTCCAATCCATTATCTCGCTCTTTTCTTCATTTCCCTGATACCTGATTGGATATCCCATAGTCTTCATTTCAGGAACACATCCTCACTAACATCCTAAACTCCCTTTCTCCTCTGAATTTTGGTTGCATTGCATAGCAAAACTTCAACTTTAGATAAATTCCAACATTTGATTTTTCTATGATTCATCTAAGGACCTAATAGAGAAAAGTCACAAAAAAATACACATTATCACCAATTTCAAATGTTCCCTCACAACACTGCCCAGAGATGTAACAAAGTCCATATGTTTAATTTACTTTACCATTGCCCACAGTGAGTAATTTAAGCCTTCTTCAAATTCATTAAACATTTTCTACCCTTCTGTATTTGTTACAAATATGTTCAGTTGCTGGACATGTGTTTATTTTTTATTTTTTATTTTTTTGGTTTTACTAATAAAGCTGCTATCATTGTTTTACATGAGTTTTTGTAACATAGATATTCAGTTCTCCTGGGTATACTTGGTAGCGGAAATAGCTTGTCCATAGGTTCTTTTAAACTTATATGAAACAACCAAACACTTTCTAAAATGATTGTACAATTACAGAACTGAAAATGTCTTCTTCCAGTTAGTACATATTCCTGCAAAAATATTTTTGCCACTCTAGTGCATGAAATGGTACCTCACTGTTTGAATATGTATTACTGATGCCAGCAGCGGTCCATCTGGAGTGGCCACTGCAAAGACACTGGCTGCAGTGGGGGAGGGGTTGCCAGGGTTGCAGGGGCCAACAAGAGCCAGGAACTGGCGGAGTGGGAGCCCCTACTCCTGGCCAGCTACAATCACCAAGCTGCAGCTCTGGACCAGGGCATCTCTGTGTTCTCAGGGGCCCAGGAAGCCCTTACCCCAACAGGCCTAGAAGTACCTGCTCCTGCTATCTGGCCTCTCCCTACTACTGGCAGAAGCAAAGTTGTGGCTGAGCCTGGGAACTGTCATGACCCGGCTGTGTGAGCACACACTCAGTGTGGTGCTGACATGTCAGGCCCTGCTGCCTTGGCCCACTCCCCACTTTCTGCATCAACAGGAGGGAGGCCAAGGGGGAGCTGAGAGATGCCTGCAGGCATCTCTCGGCACAAACAGACTGGCACCATGGTTCACATGTTGACGGTGGGAGGCAGATAGGTTCCTGGGTGGATAGGGGCAGGCCCCCTGGCACTCACTACCTTCAAGCCAGGGACAGCCTGAATCTTGAGGGCCAGGCTGCCAGTTCCAGGTGGAGTACACACCGGGAGTGAGAACTTACGGTGCTTTTTCTGGGTCTGCCCACGGACCAGTCAGCGTGCACTTCCTCCTTTCTGAGCCCATATAAACCCTGGACTCAGACAGACTCAAACAGATCGCGGGACTACCAGCTGCAGGAAGGAGCTACCCCCTGCGGACCTCCTCCCCTCTCCTCAACTAATCCTGATGATCTGCCTGCGGAAAGGAGCCACTCACTGTGTGACTCCTCTCCACTGAGAGCTGGACACTCATTGGGACAAGCTTTCTGCAGAAAGGAACTACCCACTTCAGGTCTCCTGAGAGCTGTTCTGTCACTCACTGAAGCTCCTCTCCACCTTGCTCACCCTCCAGTTGTCTGTTTACTTCATTCTTCCTGGATGCGGGACAAGACCTTGGGACTTGCTGAATGGCAAGACTGAAAAAGCTGTAACACAAACAGGGCTGAAACATGCCCACTGCTCATCACATTGTGGGCAACAAGAGGAGAGAAGGGTTGAGGCCCTTTGGGGAACTTATACCTAGGGCTTCTCCAAGCCAAGGCTGTGACACTTTCTTTGGGGTTCTGTAATTCCTGGCATCTCTAAGCTTCTGGGCACCACTGCATTCCCTGGTGCCTGCAGTTGAAGACACTTGCAATATGCCTGGTCCCGTCACAGCCTTGCATGGAGCCAGTACCTGTACCAGTGCCTGGAACTGCCTACCCCACTGCAGCTGGCAGGCCCAGCTGTGTGCAGTGCCAGACCTTGCACTCCTTGGCTCAGACACTCCTTGCAGACCTTGCACTCCTTGGCTCAGACACTCCTTGCTGCACTGCGCCTGGCTCGCTATTGGCAGGCATGGGATCTGGGCCAGTAGCACAAGCTGGGTGTGGCCTTCCAGGCCAAGTGGGCGGAACGAGCCCAGTAGGCCTGAGCAAAACTTGGGCAAAGGTGCCACTGGCTACAGAGGTTTCCAGCTAGAAAAGTGACACCCCAAGGATCCTGTGACATTACCTTAATGAATAATGATATTGAGCAATTTTTAAAGGTAGTTGTTGGTAAATATAACTTCCTTGTGTTTTTTCCCCCAAGTCTTTATTTTTTTAAATGACTATTTTTCTTTATTAAAGATTTTTAAATATATATATTTTGCATTGCCTACACATTAGCTTAGTCTATAGGCTGCTTTTTTTTTCTTAGTGATGTATTTTAAAGAGAGTTATTCAAGTACTATTTATTCAAGTACTGGTTATTCAAGTACAAAAATTATTTTTATTCCTTTTAAATTGCTTTAAAATTTTGGAAAATCTATTACTCATGTGTGTGAAAGCCTATTTCTGAACACTGTATTCTATTTTTTAATTTGTTTTTCCATCTTCACTTCAGTAGCTTAATTAGTGTAGCTTTTTGATAAGTTTTGTTTTTGAGTTTGTACTCTTTCAAGATTGTTTATGTATTCTGTAATCTTTGAATTTCCACATGTATTTTAGGTTCAGCTTATAAATTTCTACCAAATTAAAAGACAACATAGAATCAATTTTGAAAGAAGTGGCATTTTCACAATACGTGGTTGAATATATCATTTATTATTATGGTATATTGCTTAAATTTTCTTTATTTTTCTCCATGATACTTTGAAGTTTTAATGTTGATTGTTTGATGTATTTATTAAAGTTAATGCAATGTATTTTATTAATTGTATCCCATTTAAATCAATGTTTTAAATTTTATTTTGTGAATATTGGTGGGTTATATGATATGAACAATTGCTTTTCATATTGACATTGTATTCTGATTTCTTGTATGCATCTTTTAACTTAATTTTAATATTAAAAAACTTATCACTTGAAAACTGATGAGTTTACTTCATCATTTTTTATCAATGTGTCTTTCTTTTTTCTTGCCTTATTGCACTGGCAATAAAATCTTACTTTGACATAGTGAAAATGAACATCATTGCCATTTTATTGATGTTATTATAAAAGCAGTTTTTTATCCTTAAGTATGTTGTTGCCTGCAAATATTTTGCAAATGATCTCTATCAAGTTTTTGAAGTTTTCTTGTATTCCTTGTTTTCTAAATATTGAATTTTGTCAAATGCTTTTTATACATTAAATGGGAAGACAATCTGTTTTTCTGTACTCACAACACTTCTATATCGTGTGTGTTTTCCACACCAAGCAATTCTCCAATCCTTTGTGGGCACCTTTTGCATGTCTTGTACTTCAGTTGGATTCTGATACTATCTACTTGGAGTTAGATTAACCCCCCAGGTTAAGGGCTCAGTCCCACAAGACTGCCACCTACTTCAAAGGCCAATCCCAGTCCAGGCCTCCCAAACCTCCAGTTCTACTGCTATAAATTGGAGGATTCCTCCATCTCCTCTTTAGGTGTGATAATTTGCTATAATGGTTTATAAAACTCTGTGAAATATTTACTTACATTGAACGTGTGTATTATAAAGTATACAAAAAAGAATAGAGATGAACAGCCATATGAAGAGGTACATAGAGTGAGGTATGTAGGGAGGAGTACATAGCTTCTATGCCCTCTCCTGGCACACCACCTTTCTAGCATATTTATGTGTTCTTGTTCACGAACTCAGAAGCTCTCTGATTCCCAACTTTTAGTGATTTTTATAGTCTTTACCATGATTATGCCACCATGTAGGCATGATTGATTCTTAACTAAAACTCCAGACCCTCTCCCCTCTGGAAGGTAAGAGGTGAAAGTTCAATGCTTTAGTTATGGCTTGGTCTTTCTGTTGACCAGACTCTATCCCAAAGCTGTCCATGAGCCCACCAGCAGTCACCTCATTAGAATAAAAGATGAACCTTTTACATAGAAAATTCCATGATGTTAAAGTGCTCTGTATTGGAAACAGGGTCAAAGACCACATATTAGAACAAGACATCTTTCTAATACCCTATCACTCAAGAAATTAGAAGAGCATTAGAAGCTATGTGTCAGGAACCAGGGGCAAAAACTAAACATATATTTGTCATTATGTCACATACACCTACTAAATGATAACGTTATTGTTTTCTTTTGTTATCAAATAATGATGACTTTATATTGATTTTTTTTTTTTTTGAGATGGAGTCTCACTCTGTCTCCCAGATTGGAGTGCAGTGGTGTGATCTTGGCTCACTGCAACCTCCGCCTCCTGGGTTCAAGTGATTCTCCTACCTCAGTTTCCCAAGTAGCTGGTATTACAGGCTTCCATAATCATGCCAGGGTAATTTTTGTATTTTTAGTAGAGACAGGGTTTCGCCATGTTGGTCATACTGGTCTCGATCTCTTGACCTCAGGTGAGTTGTCTGCCTTGGCCTCCCAAAGTGCTGGGATTACGGGCATGAGCCACCATTCCCAGCCTATATTGATTTATTTTTTTGAAGGCCTAACTAAAATATTATTGGCATAAGTCCAGTGGTTCATACATTTTCAAAATCTTGTCATTTGTTCTAGATTATATTATCTAATTATAGAGTAAACATACTGGATCCAGACCATAGGGAATGTTGCTCTGTAAAAGTCTTGTTCAAATATATTTGTCGGATATTGGTATCAAGGTTATACTGGCCTCTAAACTATGTTAAGTCCTTCCCCTCCTCTATTTCTGGAGAATTTTGAAACCATTGATATAATATCTTCCTTAAATATTTGATAGAGTTTACTAGAAATTTATAACTTTTATTTAAATTTTAAAATATGAGAAAAATGTTTATATATTATATATATAGCCTTTTAAAATGTTTTTCTAGTGATTTCCTCTTGTCATCTGTGATATTGTTAATTTTATTTTTAAAACGTTAAGATTTTCACTATTTCATTTTTTTCAAAGAACCATTTTTGTTTTTAGTTTATTTTTATCTATTTCCCATTTTATTTATTTTATCTTTTGTACTTATTATTTCACTTCAATTATTAACCTGTGTTTTAATTGCTATTTTAAAATATGCTTTTTAATTCATTTTTTTACTTGGGGTTCATTATTATTAAGTTTGAAATATTAGTGATTTCTTCATCACAACCATAGGAGCACCTTACTAACTGGAGGTTGACACTTGTAGATCTTTTATCTTTTTTGATTTCTAATTAAATTCATTGTATAAGAAGAATATATTTAGATTTTTTAGCACTGATATATATTGAGACGTTGGGGAGGGGGGCTTTTGAGGGAGGGTACAGGGTCTTGCTCTGTTACCCAGGCTGTAGTGTATATTTTTGGTAGAGATGGGATTTTGCCATGTTCCCCAGGCTGGTCTCGAGTTCCTGGGCTCAAGTGATCCGCCCGCCTTGGCTTCCCAAAGTGCTGAGATTACAGGCGTAAGCCACCACGCCCAGCCTAGACTTTTTTTCCTTCTGAGACAGGGTCTCATTCTGCTACACAGGCAGGAGTGTAATGGTAAGTTCAGAGTTCACAGCAGCCTTGAACTCTTGGGCTCAAGAGGTCTTCCCACCTCAGTGTCCGAAGTAGCTGGAACTACAGTCATTCACCACTATGCCTGCTAATTATTATTATTATTTTTTTTTATGTTCTGTAGAGATTAGGTCTCCCTATGTTTCCCAGGCTAGTCTTGAACTCATGGGCTCAAGCAATCCTCCTGCCTGAGCCTCCCAAAATGCTGGGATTACATGCATTGGCCCTTGTGCCCAGCCTATTGAGACTTTTTTACATCCCTGCAAATGGTTACATTCAGTAAATATTACTTGCGCATGTTGAAAGAATGGTATCCTCACTTACTTAGTATAAACTTGGACAACTGAATTAGATCAATTCGGTGAATGTTATTTTTATTTTGCACAACTAATTGATTTTTTTTTACTGTTTTCTGAATTACTGAAGAGTGATATTTTAAAATACGCAATTATGATTTTGGATGAATTTCCTTATCTCTTGGATCTCTCAAATTTAGTTTGAAATTCTCTACTAGGTGATAAATTGACATATTTTTTATTTTTATTATTAATTTTTGAAACAAGCTCTTCCTCTGTTGCTCATGCTGGAGTGCAGTGACACCATAACAGCTCACTGCAGTCTTAAACTCCTGGACTCAAGCAGTCCTCCTGCCTCAGCCTCTTGAGTAGCTAAGACTATAGGTGTGCATCGCCACACCCACTTTTTTTTTTTTTTTTTTTAACTTTCTGTAGAGCTGGGATCTCAGTATGTTGCCCACGCTCGTTTCAAACTCTTGGCCTCAAGTGATCTTCCCACCTTGGCCTCCCAAAGTTCTAGGATTATAGGCATGAGCCACCATGCCCAGCCTAACACTTTTATTATTCAAAATTTATCTCCTTTATTTCTGCTAGTTTTTCTTGTCTTCATCTCTACTTTGATATTAATATCAGATAAATAATAAACTTTTTATGCTTAAAGTTTGCTCAGTGTATAGTTTTATAATCACTTTTTAAAAACTTTCTACATGTCTTTAAAATTAAAGTGAGCCTTTTAAAAGCACCTTATAGTAGGAAATTTATTATGCCAGAAAATTTTCCTTTTCATTGAATTGATTAGTCATTTAAAACAATTATTTATAATTTTCTGTTTACGTTTTCTATCTTACCTGAATAATCTAGAAAAACAATAAAAGAGGATGAGATCATTTACTATATTACCTCCAAAACTCATATATGATAGAATTATTGAAATATAGCATAATTTAACTTTCTTTCATCATTAATTGTCTCATTGATCTTCTCTCATTAGCTGAATAATTATTTTTTCATTCCTCTTTTAATTAAATGTGCCTAAAATTAAGTTTAACTATAATTTCCATTATGTAGGTAAAGAAATGTGAACAAAAAGCAAAGGAAATAAAACCAGAATATTATATTTCTTTCATTAATTTAAGATAAGTTTGTTTAAACAACCTTAGAACTAGGACTATGTTAAATCTTTTCAAATATTCATTTTAGTCCTCTTTGATAAATTTTCAAATCGCTTGACCATAATTTGATATATTTACATCCTCTAAAGAAAAATGTTTGATATGTTTTAAAGGTTGTGGCACTGAATTTATTAGCAAAACTCCGTATGACGTGAATTTTCAGGTTAGATCCAATTTTTTTTTATTAAAGTGAAGCTGTTTTAAAGTAACATTTGTTGGAATAAAATTTTAGGTTTTCTTTTTTTTTCTTAATTTTCTAAAATTGGTAAAGACTATATCACTATTGTTTTTCCTTTGTAGAATCATCAGATATCATTCTCACCACTTAAGAGGTCAATTGTGTCATTTAGGAGGTATCTATTTCCTGAATTTGACATTAAAACTGTGTGTCATGTAGCTAGTTTTCAATATACACACATATAATTATATATTTCTATCTATATAGTTTTAATACCATATATATTTTTTAAAGTATGTACGTGTGTATACATGGATATATACATGTTCATATAATAAAGTTACATATAAAAACATATATGTATATTTGTATGTTGGTAGTCATCCCTGCATTTGCACACATATATTCTTTAGGAAATATATATATGTGTTTTTTAAAAGTTTCAAACTTTGTCCCTTATCTGCCAGTTCCTAAGCTATTGTCACTCTCAGCTTCAAATCCACCCTTCTATACACAGCTTCAATGATCCTGAGACTAGGACTTTCAAACCAATTTCTGCTTTAACAGTTGTTCTCCATTATTTTCTTCTAATAGAAGGAGATGGGTAAACTGGACGTAAAAAGACTACCCCTTTCATTTGTACTTTCTGTTACTGTCGACATCACCCTCTCAATGTTTCTTCATCTCAGTAATATTAATAGCAGTCTGTTCCCAATCAGGAGTTGAATTCATTTTGCAAGTTGTCTACACCCTTAGGGCCAATTTTATTTGCCTCTTAAAAATGCCCATACCAGTTGACCAGTGCTCCCTTGTTATGAGACTGGATCTCAGCTTCACAAAGACCTTCTTTTGAGGTCAGAGACATGAGACCAACAGCAACTTGACAGCAGCCCCTTATCAAGAGTCTGAGTTTAAACTCTGCAGGACCCCCCTACAAGTTTCTTCATCTTAATACTTTCTGCCTTTGCTCTTTACTGGCATCCATGTCCTACAATTCCTATATTTGTATTATTATATTAGTGTTCTTTTTTTTCTTATTTGATGGTTTAATCATTGATAACTATTTTTTTGTTTATTTGTGTTAAAAGAATTGGTATAATTTTTCCTGATATTTATTTATTTATTTAAATTTTTTTGAGACAAACTTTTGCTCTGTTGCCCAGGTTGGAGTTCAGTGGCATGATTATAGCCCACTATAACTTCAAACTCCTGGGCTCAAGCAGTCCTCTCACCTCAGCGACCCGCGTATCTAGGACTACAGGCATATACTACCACACCCAGTATGATAGGCTGTCTGACTGACATGCATATATTTCTTTTGCTAACATCTTTGATATAGTATGTTATGATGGCTCTTTTGACAATTAAGCCCTACAAAGATTAAAATCATTAGTCTATTTAAATCTATGCTTAATAATCAGTTGATTTTTATACTACTATAAGTCCAATGGTAATTATATTTCCATGTATTTTATTTAACCATTGTAAAGTTAGTGTTAATTATGATATCAGTCTAATAAGAAAAGGAGCAAATATTTTCATGTAGGCAGTAAAATATGAAACTCAGCTGTATATATGTATATACTTCCTCTTATGCCAATCTTATAGTTTTTGTGAAATTCTAAGTGGAATGAGTCATAATCATATACGAAATAATTAAACGTTCCTTAGTGTACTGACAAAAATAAAGTGGAACTAAAGCATTTTCAACGTTGGCAAAATATTGGAATTTATTAGCAATTTCCAAGTTTCTATTGCTCATTAAATGATTCTTGTCATTTGCAAAACTCTCATAGAATGCAAACACTAAAATTCACAGTTTTCAAACCTGTGAAATACCTTCACATGGAGAGAAAATTCCAATAACAGTTAACGTTTTTATTCATGTAGGTAAACTCATTTCTATGAGGAAAAATGTTGTTAATGTTCAGAAAGGGTTTTCACATTTTTTAAGACTCAGATTTGTATGTCAAACTTAACAGTTTTGCCCCCAAATTTATAGTAGCAGCTTCAGTCCTCTAACGAATAGTTATTAATTCTGTGACATACTTAGTATTTCATTAGTTTTTTGTACTTTATGACATCAATTGACTTTGAAATGTAATTTAAAAAACTGAAAAACTGTAAATGTTAACATCTAGATAATGATGTGTAATACAGTAGGAGTTTATTCTACTGGCTAATTTTCCTGACATGATAAACTGGAGATGAAAGCTTCACATTTATCATTATTAAGTGTGCGAAAAGAAGACATTCTAGCATTCTGGATTATAAATAATAACAAAGTAAAACACATGTTTTTAATTCATAACAGAGACTGGCCTAGAAAATACAAAGATTCTAAATACGTGAAAAATTCAATGTTTTTGCACTTTTGTCATTGATGATATCTGATATTCTCCTGACAAACTTTAAGAAATTGCCAGCTATGGATGAAAACTTAGTATTATCCATATATAGCTATTAAGAATACCATGATTTGAATGACTGAATACAAAATTAACACACAAAATTCAGTAGCACTTCTATACACCAATAATAAACCAGCTGAGAAAGATGTCAAGAAGGCTATTCTATTGACAGTAGTTTCCAAAAATAAACAATAAAAACCCAGAAATATGTTTTACCAAAAAGTTGAAAAATATCTACAAGGAAAAATACTGATGAAAGAAATTGAAAAGGATAAAAACAAATGAAATAACATCTCATACTCATGGATTTTAAAAATTAATATTTTTAGAATAACCATATTTCCTAAAGCAATCTACCAACTCAAAGGAATCCCTATCAAAATACCAAAGTCATTTTTCACAGAAAGAATAAAACAATCCTAAAATTCATATGGAATGAAAAAAGAGCCCAAATAGACAAAACAATTCTCAGCAATAAGAACAAAGGTGGAGGTAGACATCCCATCATCTGACTTCAAAATATACTGCAAGCCTTTACCAAACAAAAAAGCATGGTATTGGTATAAAATTGGTATACCAGGAACCTAGAATACCAGAACCTAGGAATAAATCCATATGTTTACAGCTACCTGATTTTTGACAAAGGTGCCAACAATATACGTTGGAGAAAGGACAGCCTTTTCAATAAATGCTACTGAAAAAAACTGGACATTTATATGCAGAATAAGAAAACTAGACCTGAATCTCTCACCATGTACAAAAATCAACTCAAATGGATTAAAGCTCTAAACATAAAACCTGACAATATAAAAGTACTGGAAGAAAACATATAGGAATCACTAAATTGGTCTAGGCAAATATTTTACTGCTAAGACCTCAAAAGCACAGAAAACAGAAAAAAAATAGACACATGAGACTATATTAAACTGGAAAGTTTCTGCACCACGAGGGAAAAATCAAGAGTGAAGCGACAACTTGTTGAATGGAAGAAAATATTTGCAAAGTGTTCATTAAACTCAAGACTAATATCCAGATTTTACAAAAAACTCAATTCAATAGCCAAAAAATACAAACAAGTCCATTAAAAAGTGGGCAAATACATAAATGGACATTTCTCAAAAGAAGATAAAGAAATGGTAAACTCTCAACATTACTAATTATCAGTAAAATGAAAATTAAAAACGCAATGACATATCATGGTCCTCCAGTTAGAATGACTATTAGAAAAAATACAAAAAAAAAAAGCATGCTTGACACGGGTGCAGAGAGAAGGGAACGCTTATACATTGTTGATGGGAATGTAAATTAGTACAGACATTAGTGTAGGGAAAACAGTCTGAAGATTTTTCAAAAAACTAAAAATAGAACTTTAGTGTGCTACCAGAAATTCCACTACTAGGTTATTTATCTAAAGGGAATGAAATAAATATATCAAAGGGATATCTGCATCGCCATGTTTATCACATCATTACTTACAATAGCAAATATATGGAATCTAAGTGTCCATCACCATATGACTGGATAAAGAAAAGCTTATATAAATATATATTTTATATATAAAACATATATAAATATATATTTTATATATAAAACATATATAAATATATATTTTATATATAAAACATATATAAATATATATTTTATATATAAAACATATATAAATATATAATATTTTTATATATAAAACATATATAAATATATAATATATTTTTATATATAAAACATATAAATACATATTATGTATTTATATATAAAACATATATAAATATATGATATATTTATATATAAAACATATATAAATATATGATATATTTATATATAAAACATATATAAATATATGATATATTTATATATAAAACATATATAAATATATGATATATTTATATATAAAACATATATAAACATATAACATATTATATATTTATATATAAAACATATATAACATATATATTTATATATAAAACATATATAACATATATATTTATATATAAAACATATATAACATATATATTTATATATAAAACATATATAACATATATATTTATATATAAAACATATATATATAAATATATAAATATATATACATATATATGTATATACATATATGTATGTATATATACATATACATATATGTATATACATACATATTTATGTATATATACATACATATATGTATGTGTATACATATATGTATATGTATATATACACATATATGTATATAAAACATATATATAAATATATTTATATTTTATATATAAATATATAATATATATTACATATTTATATTTTATATATAAATGTATAATATATATTACATATTTATATTTTATATATAAATGTATTATATATTATACATTTATATTTTATATATAAATGTATAATATATATTATATATTTATATTTTATATATAAATGTATAATATATATTATATATTTATATTTTATATATAAATGTATAATATATATTATACATTTATGTATAAAACATATATATAAAAACACATATTATATATATAAAACATATAATATATAATATATTATATTAATAAAAGATATATAATATATAAAACATATATAATATAATATATATTATATATTATATATAGAACATATATAAAATATAAATATATATAAAACATATAAATATATTATATATATAGAACATATATAAATATATAATATATATTATATATATATAACACAACAGAATTCTTCTCAGCCATAAAAAAAGAATAATATCCTGCCATTTGCAGCAACTGGGTGAAACTGGAGGTCATTACGGTAGGTAAAATAAGACAGGAACAAAAAGACAAATATCATTTGTTCTGACTCATACGTGAGAGCTACAAAAGTTGATCTCATGGAGGCAGAGAGGAGAATGATAGTTTCCATAGGCTGGGAAGGATGTGTGTGAGGGTGGGATGAAGAGAGATTGGTTAGTATGCACAAACATAGTTAGATAGAAGAAATCAATTCTAATAGTTTGGAAGCAAAGTAGGGTAATTATATTTAAAAACAATGTATTTCACATTTCAAAATAGCTAGAAAAGAGGACTTGAGATGTACCCAACGCATCAAAATCATGAATATTCAATATGACAGATACTCCAAATACCATATATGTATATATGGTATCTTTTCTGACCATAATGCAATAAAACTAGACTTAGGCCTTAGAGTTATTCACCCATACATTATACAGATGGCAATTGAAGATCTAGCAGTAAAAGCAAACACTCAGGGAAATGAGAGAGACCAAACAGATTAGGGGACCCAGGAAGAAATGGTGTAAGAAATAACCACATTCAGATGGGCGGGGCAAGAAAGGCCAATGATAAATACTAAAATAAATGTGATCTGATGTGTAGGCAGAAAGGGAAGAGATTCTGTTATCATAAAACCTAAAAGAACAGCAGAATATTTTATTAAGGAAGGCATTCAACTACCGCTTGTGCTGATGAGAGAACAACTAACCAGTTTATTCTTGTGGTTTACATAAAACAATTCTAAAGCAAAATTACTGTTGAATTTAGCAAGAGCATCGTCAGTAGTTACCTGAGGGAAGAAATCAGATCACAATGAGTTTAGGCAAGAATAAAATGTGAAAAAGAGGCAGTTATAGGAAAGATTCTCAAGAATGACTGAGCACTATTGTCAAGAATAGCAAAGGATATTTTTATGTAAATTGTATATTTAGATATCACTTAAACACTTAAAAGTACACATACAGCTCAATACATTCTTACAAAGTGAGCACTTATGTAACCTCTACCCAGACAAGAAGGCCAGCAGAAGTTAGGAGCTTCCCACCCACCTCTTGCTCTATTTCAGTCATATCTTTCCCCTAGGAATAACCACAATTCTGACTTCTAACATCACAGACTAGTTTGACTGCTTGAATTTATCTAAATGGAATCATATGGCAAATATTCTTCTGCATCTGGCCTCTTTTGCACACTATTAATGTTTGTGAGATTCGTCCATTTTTTTTGCATATAGTAAATTGCATTTATTACCTTTGCTATGTAACATAAACCAGAGTATTTTGAAGGAAAAAAAACTTCCTTCATGTTATAAAATCACAATGAAAAATCCAGTATAACTTTACACAGTAAAAAATAACTGTGATAAAAAATATAAAAATGTCTGTGATACAGAATATTTAGTGAATAAAGACTAGAAAAATACCTGGTAATAATTCTACGTAAATATAAAAAGTTCATGTATGACAGAGGTTGCATTGCAAACCAATGGAAATTAATTAAGGATTCAATATGTGATGCTAAAAAATGGTTTTCCATATGGAAGCAAAATAAAATTAGATTCCGACATACATGCAAAAAATGCATAAGTAGCTCAAAAACCTTGTAATATGAGAAGTAGCATTTTAAAATATTAGACAAAGATATACAATAGTTTATAATAAGCAATAATTTCTTAAACAAGGTAAGGAAACAGATAATAAAATACTAATAAATTTACATTAAATGTTTAAATAAAATAAAATAGTATAAAGAAAAACGGAGCTAATGCATTTGCAGCATATTAAACAACAAAAATTAGTATTTAGAAAACATTCAGACCACGTGAAAGACATAAAATGAGGAAAAAGAAAGCAAAATATATATATATATATAATGAAAATAATGATTCTCAAGGGTTAGTTGAGAGGCCAGTGAACATTTGAAGATATATCCATTCTCTCTGGTAGTCTGAGAAATGCACACAATAATCTAATCCTTCAAATTGACAGAATTTTTAAATTCTGTCAATTTCAAGTTGTTTAAAAGATGTGGAAAGTGGGAACTATCACATACTAATATGAGGGATGAAAGTTTACAAATTCTTTGGAAAACAACTTATCATCATTGGGTAAATTTGCAAGACAGTCATTCCACCCATATTTCTCTGAAGGGTATACCCTTCAGAAATTCTAGAAATAACCACATGGACTCGTGTTCAACAATGTTTATTACAGCATTATTTTCAATAACAAATAATAAAACATATATTATAAATGTATATAAAATATCCTTTCATTGTAAATAATTTTATATATTGATGGTATCATAAGCGGAATGCTCATATGCTGTTGAAATAAACTAGGGATTCTTTAAATAATCTTATATCAAAATTAATAATCGCTATACAATAATGTTGAGTTGCAGTATGTTGCTACTTTAATGTAAAGTTTGGAAAGCATAAACGCTATTTCCAATAATTTTTACAGATATATAGAATATTTATAGATACATAGAACAAGGTACATACAACAAGCATAGTTTCTAAAAACATTAAATTCAGGTACATCTTGCCTCTGGTGGAGGAAGCATAAAAAAGACACCAGAAGACTGCTGTCTGAGCATCTTTCCTAATAAATAATTTTATTTATTTAATTGTAACTATTGTAAGTATGGAAAATAATAGCATTTGATAAAGCTATGTAGTAAGTATAATTTTTGGAGTGTTCCATTATTTTCCTTTCATATATTTCTATGTTACAAAATATTTACAGTACAATTACTTTCACAATTTTTGTTTCATTTGATTTTTGATGATAGATAATTGTGCATGTTTAAATACTCATTGGAATAAACCAGAAGAACGATTGAAGATATTTTAAGAAGTTACACTATTTTGGACATAATTTCTCTGAGGAAATATAGGGATTTCAGAGACGGTCCATAAGAATTATAGGGAATTTTCCTTAACTGTGGGGTCTAGATTCAGACAAGTTTCTAATATTTACAACTGAGATCTAAGGTTTATTTTAGATTGCGAGTAAATTTTGGAAACAGAAAATATTATCTTGTTTGAGAAGTCTCCATTTCAAAAGTAAGCTTTTTGTTTGGTCTTATTTTTCTTACAAATTTAGTAGAGCTTCAGTTTCAGTTATCTTAAATGTGTCTAACTGATACATACATTTGGTCCATCACAGTTTCTTATAATTGTGTGAGTATAGGAAAATTAAAAAGGGATAGGGTATCTGAAAAATTTTTGTGATAAACATTTTAAGTGTTAGATCTTCAAAGGACTTGAAGTTTTTAAAAAGTTTTCTCTTAGAGATTTCTCTTTGCACATTCTAGATGCAATTGGCTTTTCTAAAGCTAGGTATCAAGACAAAGAGATTCTGCTGAACATGCGATATCCAATCTGTCATGGGAAGCTTTGCTGCCATTTCTGTGAAATCTCCTTTTTGGGTATGATCCATCCTAGAATAGAAAAAAACTTAAAACCAGAATACAACCTGCAGTGAAGTGTCATTGCATGATTTCAGAATTACTTATAAGTCTCATTAGAGGCATCCCTATTGCTATATAAATATAATAAATTTTCACAGAAGTAAAAAAGTGTAAGTAATAAAATAAATTCATTGTAGTGAATGTTGTAAAGGTAAGAAAATTGAAAATATGCTTTATGCCTTAAATATGAACAGATTCATAACTCTGGATGGAGATAATATTATTTAGTTAAACATTGGCTGTCACTGAGATGAGCTGCAGATACATGGGCTAAAGGACCATATCCAGCTTTAATAATAGCTGGATATTTATCTGTGCTGAAAACTTCAAAATAAAGTACTCAGAGCTTAACAATTTATGATATGTGACCATGTCTTCCCAAATAAAATAAGTACCTGAAACAAAACATTAACAAAACCTTGTATATTTCTCTTTTTAGATGTTTCAAGTAAAGCCATAAATTATAATTATTTTTTAAAATGTTTCAGAAACAAAACATCTAAATATTCATTACCAGAGGCTGAAACATTTCTCTCAGCTCTCAGTTTGGATTTTGGTTCCATTTGTAAGCAGCAGTAGGTAGAAAAAATCCTTACGAAACAAAAAGCCTTTATATCCAGATCACGAGAGGACTTACGATATAAATTATAACAATGAAAGCAAGATTTATATTAAATAATATGATGATAGAGGAGAAAAAACAAATATACAAGACAAATACCAGATACAGAATATATCTGGTGCTCTGATTTCCTTACACAAGAAACACTTCTTATTGTATTATCCATTTATTAACAGAGAAATATATTAGTCATTGTTCTGAGGTATTACATTAAAAGGAATTTTAATGTAGCTGAAACCTACATCATTAAATTATTTATCCATAGTCAGTTTAGATAATTAGCAAAATATATCTAACTCTTTGGCTCCAACAGCTTTATATGTTGCTATGAGAACACAGGAGTAGCGTCCAAAGAAGGCAGCATGAATATATCTACAATTACACTCATGAACAGGGGATGAGTGTAGCACCTCAGACTCCCTCATAACACAGAACATCCAATCCTTCTAAAAGAGACACAGACTGCCCTGGGATGGGATCAACAAAGATAACATGAGATCAGATTCATCACTGAGGATGGAATCCCTCAAACAGATGCTGCATCCAGACCAGTACACATTAGATGTTTTAAATGCCTGGGTTAGGAGATGGGGAGAACAATCTTGAACAATCTGTGAGGGAGAAATTAGAATTATATTGCAGAGAGTGGGACATGATTTAAATTTGAAGACTGTAACAAGGGTATTGTAATATGAGTGGTGAGTGAATTTTAGAATAGGTCATTAAGAATAGACATGTGTGAACAGCTCTGGCATATCATTAATGTGAACTCTCTGCACTTTTATTTGGGTTGTCAGAAAGAGAAGCAAGCAATCTAATTGAAGTGGAAGTAGTGCCAAGTATGAAAGATGGCATGGGAGGGTATAGTATTAAAGAAAGTTTCTCAGTTATGAGAGAAAGACAGTGGACATAAAGAGTAATAACAGAGAGGTTGATCCCATTTTCATTACATTATAGAATTATATATAGAACCAGCCATTCACAAGGTTGATAAGAAACCAGACTCTATGGAAAGATACATTGATGCCCAGGTTTTAGTAGAATTCTCAGTGAAAACATGAATATCTAATGCCTATTGTATATAACACTGATTTTTTTTTAACTTTAAGTTCTGGGATACATGTGCAGAATGTGCAGGTTTGCTACACAGATATACATGTGCCATGGTGGTTTGCTACACCTATCAACCCATCACCAGGTTTTAAGCCCCGCATACATTAGATATTTGTCCTAATGCTCTCCCTCCCTTTGCCCCTCAACCTCCGACAGGCCCCATTGTGTGATGTCTCCATGTTTTCTCATTGTATAACATTGATTTTTGTCTGCTATAAAAATCACTTTGATCTGGTTTTCAGGTTAGTAGGAGTACAACCCATACTAGGTTGTAATATGTGGTATGTAATATAATGACTAATATATTTCTCTGTTAATAAATGGATAATAAAATAAGAGGTGTTTCTTGTGTAAGGAAATCAGAGCACCAGATATATTCTGTATCTGGTATTTGTCTTGTATTTTTGTTTTTTCTTCTCTATCATCATATTATTTAATATAATATTTAATATAATATAAAATTATTTAATATAATATTTCTATAAAGAAAAGATAGATTGCAATATTTTTATATAAACCTCTAATAATTTGAAAACTAAATTTTATTCCAAATATTAGCAACATACTCACTTTGTTGATTCATTTCAGTCAATTAAAATAAAGGATGTGATTGCATCCAGGGGTGTATGAAATGCAATTTATGAAATCCAATTTTTCCCCTAATTTGTACTATATTTTTAGCACTGATAACCTTTTATTTCATAAATATCTCAGTGTTTGAACTTGTTGAGACTCTTCTAAGACTTGAAACCTTGATAGACATTTTAAAATTGTCTTATTTAAATGGCTATTGATAGATTCAGAATAATCCTATTACTTTCCAAACTATGCTTTTTTCCTACTTTATTGTCATAATTTTCTTTGACACATGTTGAAAAATGTTCTTAAAAAGTCAACACCATTGCTGAATTTCACATTCCCAAAGGCAAAATTAAATCATGTTTCAATTAGACTACAATTGATAATGGCTATGTAGTTTGTAGTTTTCAGGAATTGGAATACATATTACATCATGAGCAGTGATGGCATAGTAAATAGAACCAGTATTTGATTTCATATGTAATGTAAAAAAACACAGAAACATTTAAGTATAGTGAAGATTTTTCTGTGATATCCTCTAAAAGCAGTATTTTCCATGCTTGTTTTCCTTTTCCTTGTCCTTAAATATCTCCAGACCTCTTCAGTACAAAGGCTGCTAAATAACTGTCAATATAACACACACTCTTTCCTCTCCTTGTAGTCAGATCACAGTGTGACAGCTCAATCCTCAAAGATAATGACCTAATCTTTGTTAAACAGCATTTGAAAATGGGCAGCCAAGAAAATCTTTATAGTACTGTGATGTTTTTATTTTTAATAAAATATTTAATATCACATAAAATACCATAATACTTGCAGCCAAGACTATTTAAACTAATATTAGAGTTGATATTTAACGTTATGGATATTGGAACAACTGAAACAATAATTTGGGTCAGTAATTTCACTTTTGAAAATCTGAATAAACTCTCTTGAAAATTTTATAAGTCATCAAATATGTACAGAATACATAGATTTTTAGAGTCTACTATTTCCAATCTTTACTGAAATAGTATTCTAATTTAATGCACTATTAATACCAAAGTAATATCCCAATTCCAGCCACACTTATTTTAAACCCTTATTTATTTCTACATAAAGAATAAGTTTTACTGTTGATTTATCATAACTTTAAAACTCAACATGCCAACAGAAACACATGCAAATAGGTGTGGATGAAAATTAAAATGTGAAAGTAAACAATAAATGTGACAGAAATTTTTCCTCGTCTCTAATAAATACTATTGCTAGACCCTGAGAAAATAATAATGAAGGAATACTAAATTTGGAGGATAAGTAATAAACTTGGTTAAGCATTGCATTTGAAGTCTAAATAAAAACCCAAGTAAAAATGATCACTTGTTGGTCAGTTTCAATTGTTTAGGGATCAATATAGGATCTAGGCTGGAAATTCAAACTCGGGGGTATGAAAGTACAAAATGGTATAAAACAAAAGGGCACAGGAAATTGCCTGCTGATATGTTGAGAAAAAGAAATAGATCAAAAACCGATTCTTGGGTGACATTAATCTAATTTTAGGAATAGACTAAGAAAAAGAAGCCGACAATAGGAACTAAGAAACACAGTTGCCTTTTCCCTTTCCATTTCTTTAGCCACACATAAAATCAACCATCAGATGTGGCTTTTTCTCTCTGGTATCCTTCATATACAGTTTCTTCTTTCAGGAACTACTCATATCTGTAACTTTATATACATTACCTAACCACAGGTCTCTCCGTCATTCGGCGTAGCTCCTTTTTATTCCTTCAATCCCAAACCACACTTCATGTTTATTTCCTGCTTTCTCTTGAATAACATATACTGTTATTATACCCTACATACATTATTTATAATTTCCACCATATAAAGCAGAATTTATGGTCATCAGCAAAAAGAGAAATTGGCAACAATTACAAAAAAAGAATACTTGCAAGTTTTATTGAAAGTGATATTGATTTTTCTAATGATCAGTTATGGTGAGCTTTTCTTCATGTTTGTTGGGCGCATGAATGTCTTCTTTTGAGAAGTATCTGTTCATGTCCTTCGACTACTTTTATTGAGATTGTTTGTTTTTTTCTTGTAAATTTATGTAAGTCCCTTGTAGGTTTTGCCAGATGGATAGATTGCAAAAATGTTCTTCCATTCTGTAGGTTTGTCTGTTCACCCTGATGATAGTTTCTTTTGCTGTGCAGACGCTTTTTAGTTTAATTAGATCACATTTGCCAATTTTTGCTTTTGTTGCAATTGCTTTTGGTGTTTTCATTATGAAATCTTTGCCTGTGCCTATGTCCTAAATGGTATTTCCTAGGTTTTCTTCTAGTGATTTTATAGTTTTGGATTTTACATTTAAGCCTTTAATCCATATTGAGTTAATTTTTGTACAAGGTATAGGAAAGGAGTCCAGTTTCAATTTTCTGCATATGGCTAGCTAGTTCTCCAAGCACCATTTATTATCCATATAGCTTGTTTCGATAAGGTTTGTGAAAGATCAGATGGCTGTAAGTATGCGGTCTTATTTCTGGGTTCTCTATTCTTTTCCATTGGTCTATGTGTATCTTTTGGTACCAGTACCATGCTGCTCTGATTACTGTAGTCTTGCAGTATAGTTTGAAGTCTGGTAGCATGATGCTTCCAGCTTTGTTCTTTTTGCTTAGAATTGTCTTGGCTATTCAGGCTCTTTTTGGTTTCATATGAATTTTAAAATAATTTTTTCTAATTTGGTGAAGGATGTCAATGGTAGTTTAGTGGGAATAACATTGAATCTATAAATTACTTTCGGCAGTATGGCCATTTTCATGATATTGAAGAGATACCATCTCACACTAGTCAGAATGACGATTATTAAAAAGTCCAAACAATAGAGGCTGGCAAGTTTGCAGAGAAAAAGGAATACTTTTGCACTGTTGGTGGGAGTGTAAATTAGTTCATCTATTGTGAAAGACAGTGTGGTGGCAATTCCTCAAAGATCTAAAAGCAGAAATTCCAGTTGACCCAGCAATTCCATTACTGGGCATATATCCAAAGGAATATAAGTTATTCTATTATAAAGATACATGCATGCATATGTTTATTGCAGCACTATACACAATAGCAAAGACATGGAATCAATCCAACTGTCCATCAGTGAAAGACCGGAGAAGGAAAATGTATAATACATGTACACTATGGAATACTATGCAACCACATAAATGAATTAGAACATGGCCTTTGCAGGGACATGGATGGAGCTGGAAGACATTATCCTCAGCAAAATCACATAGGAACAGAAAACCAAACACAGACTGTTTTCACTCATAAGTGGGAACTGAATGATTAGGACACATGAACACACGGCAGGGAACAACACAACCTAGGGTTCGTAGACGGGGTTAAGGGGAGGGAGAGCATCAGGAAGAATAGCTAATGGATGTTGGGCTTAATACCCAGGTAATGAATTGATCTGTTGAGGGTTCCACCGTGGCACAGGTTTACTTACGTAACAAACCTGCACATCCTGCACATATACCCAGAAATGTAAAATAAAATTTGAAGGGACAAAAAGTGATATTGAACTCACCTTGTTTTACCAAATGGAAATGGTTGACAATTTTTCATGTAAGAAGAAAGCATACATTATTGGGAATTTAAATAGGCAAAAGAAAAAGAACAGAATAGATAGATTTCAGGTGTCAGATGAAAATCAGTAAAGTCACTAGCTCAGAGACATGAAAACATGGCTCCTTAAAGTTGTATAATTTCAGAGCAAATGTTCAGATCAGTATCTGATTTCACATGGAGTTAGTGCAGCATTTTTTAATGCCAGTATATACTCATGATTTTAGAATATATGGAAAATAGTGTTGATCAAATATTAGTTCAAATATTTTAGATATTAGAAGCTCCCAAAATATTTTATGTAGATTATTTAGTGAGGCATATTGAAGAAATACATTTATTTATTTATCCGAGAAATATTTATTAAATTTATTGCTGTCTCCAGTCACTAAAGATTAAAAATTTAAATTTGTAATTAATCTCATCCTGTAACTATCAGCCTAGACATAGAGATAAACACACAAATAATTATAATATCATCTTATGTTTGTTGTATGTGCAGAATACTGAGATAACACACCAGAAAATGTGAATAACTCTTTTTTTAATTAAAAGAGTAAATTTTTGTTTAAAGTTTAAAACTAGAAGTGCCTAATTATAGACTGTGTATTCTTTGTCAAATATCTTGCCCATTTACTATTCCTTCCATTTTTTGTATTGATCATGTTGGAACTTATTGCCTTATGTGTAAATCTTGCTTTTGTACACAGGGTGATTGGATTTTTAATAGCAAGACTGTATTGAGTATTTTGTTGGCTTTGTTTTGTTCTTTTTTAAATTATCTATCAACACTTAGCAGAGACTTGAGTATTACAGAAACTCAGTAAATTCATACTACACTTAGCAGACTATTTTGTCAGTATCTCAAAAAGACAGAATTACAAAAATTTTGCCCTTCCACGAAACTGAGACCCTCCATGTAATGAGAATTGTACCTCAGAAAGGGCATGTTCAAAGACCGTAGAAATGAGAAATAAAAGTGATATCATAAGCCCCCGCAGCTGACCAAATGGACCCCCTCTTGGTCATGGAAACCCCAGAGAAACTTTGAAAACTGAGTTCCTGGCCATGACAGAAAGGGAGGTTGGACATGCTTCATTATTCCCCTTCTTGTACTAACTGCCTTTAGCCTTTCTTCCCTAAGAGTTAAACAGAAACCAGCCCTTTGGAAAGACTCACTCCACCTGTGATATCAACTAGTGAGTTGATGCTGCTCCTCCCTTTTGCAGTTTTTACAAAACCACCAACCAGCATTCCTGCCTTATAAGAGACCACCAATGACAGAGTTGTTCTGGCCAGTCTACGCAGTATGTACTAAGAGAGTTCTTATGTCCTCTGCTTCTTCTTTTGATGTCAGAGGTCCGAAAATACCACCTTTGAATCATGGAAATGCCACCTTTTTTTTTTTAACTTAGGCCCCATGGAGAGACATGAAGTTTAATTATGCATATGCACATTTCTCCTTTTGTAAACATTCATTAGCCCTACTACAGTTTATTGAATATGTATATCTTACCACCCTCCTCAGCCTAAATTCCTGTCTTATACTTCCTGCTCTTGAAGTGTGTGATTCTGGCTTCTGGTTAGAGCCTATGCTTCCCAACCAGTCATAATGGCCACTTCGCAGGCTGCAACTCTTCATAATAAATAAAGTTCTCCTTTCCAAATTTATGAACCCCATCATTCTTCAGTTGATGGAAATTTAAAAAATAAAAGCACAGTGCAACTGGCAGTAAAATGTTAATCTGAGAAAATCCCTAGTATAATTTGAATTATTTTCTCAATTTCTTTCAGCCAAATATTTCTTCCCCTTTTCCTTCCTCTCACATATGAGGAAAAAAAATCAAAGGGGCCAATTCTTCCAAAATGTTAATATTTTATCACATCATATTTTAAAATTTTGTTGTTACATGAATACACATATATACTTATTTCATTGGGTTATGTGGGTCTATATTAATTTCCATGAAACTTACTTTATATTAAAATCACATGGAGAGCTTTAAGTAATAATGATGCACAAATATCCTGATTAAATTAATATTTGTTAGCATGGGCCTCAAAATTTCTTAAAGCTCTTCAGATAATTCTAATATGCATTCAGAGTTGAAAAACATTGGCCAAAAAGTGAAACATAATTCTTTTTTGAATTGTATTTTTAATTAAAAAATAATAATTTTATATATTTATGGAGTAAAATGTGATGTTACATGTAAACATCATGGATCGATTAAATAAAGTAATTAACATATTTGTCACTTTACATACTTACCTTTTCCTTATGGCAAGAACGTGTAAGGATCTGCTCTTCCAGTAATTTTGAAATGTTTGATATATTATAACTGATTGTAGTTATCATGCTATTTAATAGCTCACTAGAACTTGTTCCCCTTCCCAGCTTTTACTTCCATACTGGTCTAGATATGTATATGAACGTAAATATATTAAAAATGTATGGGAAGGTAAGTTTTGCTGGTATTTCATGGTGATATTTGGAGACAGAATTCATGTAGTAAAAATCCTGTCTTTAAAAATTCATCCTGTTTCTCAAAATGCTACAAAAAAATACATGTACAGAAAAAAAAAACAGCAAATGCTTATCTTTTATTATTACTTTAAGCTTTAGAAAACTAAGCCAAATTAAGTAAGAAAAAGTAAATAAGAGAAGAAAAAATGATATTTCGAATTAAAACAGAGAAAAATATAAATGACGCTGAAATCAGATTCTTTAAAAAGATGAAGTTGATAGGTATTTAGCAAGAAGGAAGATACAACTTGTCAATAGTAGGGAAGAAGGAAAAAATATAACTAGGATGTACAGACAATAAAAGCATAAGGTCATATCTTGAGCAACTCTGTTCTCATAAATTCAACAAAATAAAATTAATTAATTTCCCCATAAATCATGAACATAGAAAAGATGATACAAATAACATATACAATCCAATATATCTTTTAAAAATTTAAGTTAAAAAATTTTGAAAAGAAACATCTGATCAATGATGGTTTCAATCGTAAACTCTACCTAATCTTTATAGAAGAAATAGTATCAATTTTGAAACAATCTCTTCCGGAAAGCAGAATACTGGAGCAGTTAATTTAGCCAGCATTATTCTAATTCCAAAACCACCCAAAGACAGTACAAAAATGGAATGAAAAAAAAGAAAACAATGACACAAAAATAAAATAAAATGAATCTACAGACCAATATCCAAAATATATATAGGTGTAAAAATTCTTAACAAAATATAAGCAAATCAAATCAAGCAATACATAAACTCATAAGATTACATAATAAAGTTAGGTTTATCTGAAGAATGTAAAGCTGGTTGATACTGAAAAACCTATCAATGTAATAATCATATTTACAATTTAAAAAACAAAAGGACATTATCATATCAATTGACAGAGAGTTTGATGAAATTCAATACTCATTTATGATAAACACATTCATTAATCTAGGAATAAAAACAGACATCTATAAAAACCCATAATGATTATATACTTAGTGATAAATGATGTTCCTGTAGAGTCCAAATCAATGCAAAGATGTCCATGTGACATTCCTATTTAATACTTTACTAGAAGTGTAGGCCAGTGCCATAAGGCAAGAAAATACAAATCATACAAATCATAAATGAAAAGTTCAATTATCCTTTTTGGAAAAGACGTAAACGTCTACATAGAATATCCCAAGGAATCTACAAAAAAATAGGTTTAACAAGTTTTCAGAATAAAAGATTAGCTCATACACATGAATTGTATTTCTGTATACTAACAATTAAAAACAACATATTTTTAAAACTTACCTTGGACAGTCTCTTATCAAAAAATCTGCAGGCATTGCATGCATAAAATTGCAAAATGTGATGAAGTAAATGAAAAGAGACCTGAATAATGGAGAGACATAACTTGCTTATGAATTGAAAAAACTCAAGCTAGTACTGATGTTAATTTTCCCCACCACAATTTATAGAACCAGCAAGGATTTTGTAAGTTTTTACAAGCAAACTCTAAAACTTATATATAAATCTAAGAAAGTATGCAGGATAGTTCTTGGACTGACTCATTTATCTTCACTTTCTTGTTTGTAGCTTCCATAATAGCTATGGAATATACTGAAATGTAACACCCTGAGATAAGTGGGGAGCCAGTTGGAAGAGCTTGTGCTCTATTCCATTTCCTCTAGAAAATGATGTTCTTCAATGCTTTTAGCCCAGTGTGTCACAATTTGGTGGGGTATAAAACCCAGGGCTGGCTGCTATGTGAGGTCCCTCAGCTGCAGTGCAAACAGGGCACATGGATTTAAGACTCCATCTGTCCTGGACAACTTTCCTGAGCCTTGAAGGATGGCTCACAATGAATCCTTGGCTTCTGTTTTCCCTTGTTGCCTATATGCAAGTAATAAGCCTATTTCATGTAACTTGCTGTGTTCATGGGTATTCTGTCTTACCAGAATCAGACAAGTTGGTAACTGGGGCACAGTGAACCTCCTTCCTGGGTAGAATAGAATAAAAAAGCTAAACATAGCTATCTAAAGACTTACTCTACCAGAATACAGACAGAGTACAATTAATATAGGAGATTATATATAACACATACACACACACATATATATACATATATATGTATATATATATATATGGAAATAAAGAAAATATATCCACATAAATGTGGCCAAATATTTTAGCAAAAATGCAAAAGTATTCTAATGAAGAAAGAATAAACTTCTCAATAGATGATGTTTTAAAAACTGACTTATGCATTTAAAAATAAAGTTTGATCTAATCTTCACAACACACATTAAATTGACTCAAAATGAATCATCAATATAGTTTTTAAAGTAAAACTATAACTTTTTGGAATAAAATATAGAAAAAAGTCATCCTGTTCTTGTCCAAAGAGATAACAAAATGTATGAAGAAAAATAATGAATGGATTAAGTACCTTTATATGATAAACTTTGATCTGTTAAAGACCATGTTATGAAAATAAAAAGTCAAGATACAAACTTTTTTTTGCAAAGAACATATCTGGCAAAGGACTTTTAATCAGACTATATTAAGAACCCTCAAAAACCAAGAGCAAGAAAAAAATTTTAAAGATTAAAAGAGTCACATCAGTGAAAATGGCACAGGAAAGGCTCACAAAAATTCTTTCCTCTATAACAGTAAAAAACTGGCAAAAATTGTCAGAATAAACCTTTTCAGACCTCTGGAAAGTAACAAAAACTTGCAACAATTTGAAGCATGTTTATGCAAAAGAATATGTATATTCTCTGATGGTAAAGCCATAAAAATAGATACTAATAATCTTACAATCTCTAGGAAATAAAAATGTATGTTTTCAAAATAACGTTTTCTAACGGGGTATGAAAATAATACACAATTGTTAAAGTAATACAAGTGGATAATTTATGTAGCAAAACTCATAAGAAGTATTTAGAATTATACTCAATAATTAATTACTGAAAAGGAATAGAAATAAGACTGCAAACTACATAATAACTAAGCAAAAATAGTAAAACTGGGATTACAGTCATGAGCCAACACACCTGGCCACCACATTTTCTTTATTCATCCATTGATAGGTTGATTCCACATCTTGGCTATTGTGACTAGTGCTGCAATAAACATAGTAATGCGGATATCTTTTTGATATGTGAATTACCTTATTAAAAAATACACATTTATATATACACATACATATGTGTGTATATGTTTATATATATATAATACAATACATATATATATATATACACACATACACACACTCAGCAGTGGGATTCCTAGGTCATATGGTAGTTCTAGTTATAGATTTTTTTTTTAAACTCCCATACTGTTTTGGTAGTGGCTGTACTAATTTACATTCTCACCAACAGTGTTTGAATGCCTTTCTCTGCATTCTTGCCAGTAATATTTGTTGACATAAAAAAAGGCACATAAGCCAATTAAACTAAATACAGAACCCAGAAATAAAACCAAGCATTTCCAGTCAACTCATTGTCTATAAAGGCAACAAGAACATACATTGGGTAAAGAGCAGTCTCTTCAATAAATGGCGCTAGGAAAACTGGATATCCATATGCAAAAGAGTGAAACTAGACCTGTATCTCTCACCATATATAAAAATAACATCAAAATAGATTAAGGACATAAGTGTAAGACATGAAACTATAAATCTTCTGGAAGTTATTAACTGGGGAAACACTCTAGGATATTGATTTGGGCAAACTTTTATTGAGTAAGATCTCAACAGCACAGCCAAGCAAAGCAAAAATGGACCAATGGAATCATATCAACCTAAACAGCTTCTGCACAGAACAGAAAAAGAATAAACAAAATGAAGAGACAACCTACAGAATGAGAGGAAGTATTTGTAAACTGTTCAACTTACGAGGAATTAATTCCTAGAAGATATAAGAAACTTAACCAATGTAATAGAAAAAAATTATCTGATTTAAAACAGTAAACCTGAAAATATTTCTCAAAAAACGATATACAAATGTCCAACAGGCATATAAAAAAATGTTACACATCACTAATCATAAGCAAAATGCACAACACAACCACAATTAGGTATCATCTCACCCCAGTTTAAGTGAATGTTGTAAAAAAGACAGAAGAATTGAAATATTAAGATAATACTTCTCCCTTCTCTCCACATAAAGTTGAATACTAAATTTAAGAAATTCACGACCTGGCGCGGTGGCTCACGCCTGTAATCCCAGCACTTTGGGAGGCTGAGGCAGGTGGATCACGAGGTCAGGAGATCGAGACCATCCTGGCTAACATGGTGAAACCCCATCTCTACTAAAAATACAACAAATTAGCCGGGCGTGGTGGTGGACACCTGTAGTCCCAGCTACTTGGGAGGCTGAGGCAGGAGAATGGTGTGAACCTGGGAGGTGGAGCTTGCAGTGAGCTGGGATCACGCCACTGCACTCCAGCCTGGGTGACAGAGCGAGACTCCATCTCAAAAAAAAAAAAAAAGAAAGAAAAGAAAAAGAGAAATTCACAATAATGTAAATTTTCAAGGTGATTAGTAAAAGTTATGGAGGTAATTTTAAATTTAAAAACATATTATTCACAATTATAATTTTCTTATTTTATTATTATTATACTTTAAGTTTTAGGGTACATGTGCACATTGTGCAGGTTAGTTACGTATGTATACTTGTGCCATGCTGCTGCCCTGCACCCATTAACTCATCATTTAGCATTAGGTACATCTCCTAAAGCTATCCCTCCACCATCCCCCCACCCCACAACAGTCCCCAGAGTGTGATGTTCCCCTTCCTGTGTCCATGTGTTCTCATTGTTCAATTCCCACCTATGAGTGAGAATATGCGGTGTTTGGTTTTTTGTTCTTGCGATAGTTTACTGAGAATGATGATTTCCAATTTCATCCATGTCCCTACAAAGGACATGAACTCATCATTTTTTATGGCTGCATAGTATTCCATGGTGTATATGTGCCACATTTTCTTAATCCAGTCTATCATTGTTGGACATTTGGGTTGGTTCCAAGTCTTTGCTATTGTGAATAGTGCCACAATAAACATACGTGTGCATGTGTCTTTATAGCAGCATGATTTATAGTCCTTTGGGTATATACCCAGTAATGGGATGGCTGGGTCAAATGGTATTTCTAGCTCTAGATCCTTGAGGAATCGCCACACTGACTTCCACAATGGTTGAACTAGTTTACAGTCCCACCAACAGTGTAAAAGTGTTCCTATTTCTCCACATCCTTTCCAGCACCTGTTGTTTCCTGACTTTCTAATGATTGCCATTCTAACTGGTGTGAGATGGTATCTCATTGTGGTTTTGATTTGCATTTCTCTGATAGCCAGTGATGGTGAGCACTTTTTCATGTGTTTTTTGGCTGCATAAATGTCTTCTTTTGAGAAGTGTCTGTTCATGTCCTTTGCCCACTTTTTGATGGGGTTGTTTGTTTTTTTCTTGTAAATTTGTTTGAGTTCATTGTAGATTCTGGATATTAGCCCTTTGTCAGTTATAATGTTAATAATTTCAATAATGTTTATGAAACTACCTTCATGATTATAAATGTAAAATTAAAATAAGAATAATATGTAAGTTGTCATCCTAATATAAATACAACTGAGCATGGAATCAACTTTTCAAGAATAATCTTCTCAAACATCTTAGTCCATTTGTTTCCATTGGTGAATTGTTCCTATGTATTTAAAGATGAGCCACAAGTCACAGAAAGAGGTTTAATATGGAGTTATTAAAACCTTAATATAAAAACTTGATATTTTTGTTTACAAAAAAGATTCTTACCAAGGGTCTATTTTTGAAACTAATAATAAATCCTCCAATCTTGAAGCATTTAGTATGCAAGATACACTGTGTTAAGATCATTATTCTCATTAACTTTAGTCTTCATAATGAGCCTCTGAAACTAATACTTTCTCTATCCTCATTTGATAGATGAGGCATCTGAAATTTAGAAAAGTGAAGTAAGTTGCCTTAAAGAAAAGTGAAGTAGCTGTAATGCAACTGAGCAGGGGAAGTGAGTTATGAACCCAGAAAATATGGTTTCAGAATTTATGCTTTTACCACTTTGCATGTTTAATTTATGTGTTAACTTGGCTATGCCAAGGTACCTAGATATTTAGTCAAATATTATTCTAGATGTTTCTGTGAAGGTAATTTTAACTAAGGTTAATGTTTACATCAGTATGTTTGAGTGAAGCACATTATTCTTCGTAATGTGGTGGGCTCATCCAATCAGTTCAAGGGAGGCCTTATTAAAAAAAGACTGCCCTCCCTGGAAGAAGAGAGAATTCGGCCAGCAGACTGCCTGTGGAATTAAATTTCAACTATTCTCTGGGTGTCTTGCCTACTGGTTTAGCGTGCAGACTTTAAACTTGCCAGCTTTCCACAATCAGGTGAGCTAACTCCTTAAACTTTCTCTTTCTGTTGTTTTATGAAAAACAATATAACATCTCTCTTTATAGATAATATATAATAATATAAAATGTGTGGCATTACATGGAATATTTCATAATTAAAACACATACAATGTATAATATATTGGTTATATATTATAAATATTTACATATAATTATGCATACTACATAATAATTATATATTACAAATAATTGTATATAGTTACACATAAAATATGTAATGGATATATTAATAATATATAATTATACATACAATATATAATAGTTTTATATTATTAATAATTATATATGATTATGTATACAAATCTATTATGTATTATAAATAATTTTATATAATTATACACACAATATATAATAGTTACTATGTATTATATATAATAATAGAAAATATATGTATATATACCCATATGTATAGATACACATGTCCCATTGGTTGTTGGTTGTTTCTCTGGAGAACTCTAATACAACATGACAATATACATCCCCTAGTAATAAAATGCTTGCAAGTGTAAATCAGTTAAATAAATGTAAAAATAATACAATTTACTATATTAAACTGGGCATAAACTTTGAAATTAAATAGTTTTAATGTTAAGAACCAATGGAGTCAAATTTTATAGAAGTGCCTGCATTATGCTAGGCACTCTACTAAACACAATAAAAGACTATAAATTATTATAAATGACATATATGTAAATAATTTTAAGTACCATAAAAACAACAAATGTATAATATGTAAAATTAAAAATATTTTATATATCTTTGGATGATATAATTTTAAAAATACTTCACTATCTAAACATGTTTAAACACATTTCAGTTTTTGAAAGATTCTCAAATATCAATAAAAACCTTTTTAGGAAGTTTGAGACATGACAATAATAATAACAGCAATTATTTATTGATTAATAGCTCCTTACCAGATATTCTTCTAAGCATTTTAGGAATAGTTTTATTAATAATTAAATTCTCACATAAACCTCTAAGGTTAGTACATTTTATAAAGATGTATAACCCCAATTTAAACTAAAATTGGTCTGTCTAGGAAACCCATGATGACAGTCAGTTTTTTGCTTAGAAATATAATGACTCTTCTTTAACTTAAGAGGAGTTAGATTATATTATATGATCAGAATTATACTAGTATTGTATAGAAAGGAGAAGTTCTAAGCAGTTTCTCACAGAAATCAACAAAAATATTCACCAAAGTTTTTCTTTTATTCATTTAATTCATCCAATAGTTCATAATCACTTATACTATATCAGCACTTTACTGTACAGTAGACATTGAGGAACGAATAAGACCTAGTGTAAATGTATTATCAAGGTACATATATTCTGTATTAAAAACAATTGTTTTTCATACCCCAGCAAATATTCCGATGGCTATATCACCAAGTGTTTGGAGTATTTTAACCAGATAAGTACCATCAAAAATTTAACTATGCAAGGGCTGCTTGGATGAATTTGGAAGTATGTCTAAGAGTTGATCAAAGGAAGCATTCGGTGTCATACATAATGATCAGAGAAAATTGCACACATGAAAAGAAAGATATAAAATGTAATGACACTTCTGGAAATTTACAAAAAATAAAATAAAAGGACCATGAAAAGGCAATGGAAATGTATTTCTAGGACAGTGCCTGAATAATAGTTCTAGATACCAAATTCATTTTCCAGTCCTTAATGGACTTGAGGACTAAGTTAAAATTTAAGCTTTTTCCTTAAAGATATGAAACCCATTTGATATAGTTTTACTGTGTCCCCACCCAAACCTCATCTTGAATTGTAGTTCGCATCATCCCCACGTGTGGTAGGAGGGACCCAGTAGGAGGTAATTGAATCATGAAGGCGGTTTCAAGACCTCTAACAATGTCTGTTACTAAAAATTAAAAGGCATAATTCTATCTACATTTTCCAGATATAAGTCACTTCTTAGACCTAGAATTCATTGATTTAATGAGACTGGATCCTCTTAAGGAGGACTGCATAACACCACAGCAAGTATTTACTACGTTGCTCAGTAAGTTTTCTCCAGTGTGAGGCAGGAGAAGTGGGTCTGGAGGCAGGAAACCTAAGGCTGATTCATGTTGACTTCATAAAACTGAAACAAAATGAAAACCTCACCTTTCCATGCCAAAGTACCAAAAGAATCAGAGGCCACTCCATTTGCAACCCTCCCCCTTTCTGCATCACAGGTGAAAAATTGAAAGTACCTCTAATTGGTCTCCTCCTGCAACCATTCAGACTGAGCATGGGTGTAGTCTTTATTTGCATAGGGGTGTAACTTCGTGACTTCACCTCAGCCTCTGACTGGTCACCTCTCATGACCAATTAGACTGGTTGCAGGCCATTTATTTATTTTCATAGGGTGTAACCAAATAACCAGTGCAAAACCTCTACAGGGTATTGATACACCAGAAAATTCTGTAACCAACAGTCTTGAGCCACTTACTCAAGCTCACTCCCATTCTGTGGCATGTACTTTTATTTCAATAAATCTGTGCTTTTGTTGCTTCATTATTTCATAGCTTTGTATGTGTTATATGTTGTATCTGCCAAATTGGCTTATAAGTAAAAGAGCACTCATAAAATAAGTAAATAAGTCCAAGGATATTTCAACTTGATGTGACTTAAGTAAATCTTTATTAAACAAGCTGGCTTTAAAATTATTGGTAAAATAAAAATAGAAATATCTTCAGAATTGTCAACATACATTTTTGTCTGTTTTATATTTGTCTTTTCTAAATATTTTAAGGTGTTTAATATCTCAGTTTTCTGAATTAATCTAGATTAAACAGTTAAAAATGAAAGAATTGAGTACATGTAACTGGGATAAATGTTTTAGGTAAACTTTTTGTGTAATTTAAAATCTTAATGTTATTTTCAATGTTCATTGGATATCTGATTTATTTCCAATTAAGAAAAGGTTATGATATGGTAAAATATGTTTCTAAAAATTGTGTGATTTTCCTCATGCATAAAATGCTCATATCTTATAGTTCAGGATTTCTTGTATTTTAGGGTTTCACTAAAATTTAAGGTTATTAAGGATAATAATTCTATTTAACAGATAATTCTGTATACAAAATTGTGCCAAAACATGTGTTATTAGGAAGAAAAGTAATATTTGTGTGTAATTCAGAAGTTATCTAAAAGTTAATTCAAATTATGGACTTAAAAAAAGGGTTATTTATGAGACAAGGTAGTAACAAACCAGTAAGTATGGGAGAGATGTGTGAAGAAAATTAGTATATGAAGATGTGTTTTGGTAAAGAAAGTTGTAGAAACAATAATATTGTATGATCAAAGATTTTACATGGTAAATTCTTGTTCTAAAGTAAAATGACTGTGTTTTTAATAAGAGGTATGTTTAGGACAAGTCAGAAAGCCTAAGCATGTTGCAGATGGGTTGTGTAAGTCATGAAAAGAATTGTGATGTGTGAACAAAATTAGTATATGATGTATTTTTGATACGGAAAGTTGTAGGACAATAATATTGTATGATGAAAGATCTTATGTGGTAAATTCTTGTTCTAAAGTAAAATGACTGTTTTTTTTAAGAAGAGGGATGTTTAGGACAAGTGAGAAAACCTAGCATGTTGCAGATGGGTTGTGTAAGTCAGGAAAAGGAACTGTATAAGAAAAGTAGAATGAACTAGAATGAAAGTAGAATAAAAGTCATGGGAATGTGGATTTCTTTCCCAAATTTAGAGGATTGAAGGATTGTTTTAAGTGAGACCAGAAAAATCTAAAGGTTTGAACAATTTGTGGAAGGTTTATGAATAACTAATTGTAAAATAGATTCTGTATGTGAACACATGGACTAAAATTAAAGGAGAAGATTGACAATTAGACTTCACCCATATGCCAGCTTGCAAAGTATACAAGCTTACCTTACCAGAAGAGAGAAGGCTAATGGAGTTATAAAGATTCTCTTAAAGAAAATAATCCCCCAGTTTGGGTTAACCCAGAGTGTCCAAAGTGATAATGGCCTATCTTTGCTTTACAAAAGTTTGGAACTCAAAGGCTCTCCACAGCAGCAACTAACCTGCAACCCAAAATCAGGCCAGGAGATAAGGTGCTTTTTTAAATATGGAAGGAGGGATCACCTGCATAACAATTACAACCAAAAAGAAATGGACAATTTTCAGTGCTACTGGCCACGTCTTCTGCTGTCAGAGTACTAGGATTAGATAGTTGGATTTATCTTTCCATAGTCAAAACTGCAATACCTGAAGCCCTAGAACTGGAACCTGAAGCTCCCATCCATCACCCACTACTCCTGTGAACCTGTGGAATACCTGAAGTACCTGTTAAAAGACAGCCAAAAGATAAGTAGATACCTGCCAACTTTCCTTGGTATCTTTGTTGCATAGTTACTGTAGGCTGGATAATAATAGCCAGATTTATATTTTACAATTTAACTGCTTTCTTCCAAATGGACAAATCACTTCCTTTTTAATAATTAAGAAAAATGTTCTAATTCATTGTTATAAGAAACATTCCTGACAGCATAGGTATCCACCTCGCTATGTTCCCATTCTATGGAACAAAATAACAAAGGAGTATTTTTTGTTCCATAATGATCACCCACAGCCTGTGTATACTGGGACCATGCGTACTTGGAATCAGCTTTATTTTACAACAGAGTTTCACTTTATCCTTCTGGCAATTAATGGATTCTGGGTATTTATTAAAAACTTTAAATTTAACACAAAGACTGTTAAATACCACCAGTCCAATGAATACAACCAATAACTATGAAAATATCCAGAGTACATCATTTTAAAAACCTGTACACTTTTCAGGAAAATCAGTACTAGTTAAGGCCACTTTAAATAATATATAGTCTAAGTACCGTCAAGATAAGCCCACTAGCTGTGTTCATATTTTCCTTTGGGAAGACTGTATTAATCCTGAGATATCTAGTTGCCTTTTGGTTGCCCATTACAAAAATACCTCTGGGTGGTTGTCAGTGTACACTAAGCATAACTACCTCCACTGGGAAAATAGAACTGCTGGGGAAGCTCAGGATATTTTCCAAGGTTCTTTCCAGCCTTTAACCAGAGCCACCTTAGCAGGGACCTTAACCACCTGGCAACGTGCAAACAACAAGCTAACCCACACGTTCACCATAGAAAACAATTTTTATCTTGAAAAACAAGAAGCCTTTTTTTTTTTTTCTGTGTGGAACCAGTTCCTACGTATGATTATCAGCCAATTGTACTGGAACCTGTACACTTGTTTGTTTAGCCCCCAAAATTAATATAGCCCTCAACAAACAATCCCTCATTATACCTTTAACTGCAACCAACAGACACAAACAAGCCATCAAACTCATACTCATCAAACAAGCCATCAAACTATACCCCTAGGGATAGAAATAACAGTAAGAGCAGGAATGGGAGTTAGCAGGTTTGCAACAGTTCTATCCTATTACCGACTTTTCTCCAAGGATTTTATGGAAAGCTTGGATAACATTGCCCAAAGTTTCATCACCACACAAAATCAAATAGACTCCTTGGCAGCAGCTACTTTGCAAAATAGAAGGGGACTAGATCTGGCTTATGTCTTTTTCTAGAGCAAGAATGCTGTTTTGATGTCAACCAATCAGGATTAATAAGAGACGCCACCTGAAAACTAGCTGATCGGGACTCTAAGATATGACAACCACCATCTGAGTCATGGGGCTCCTGGTAAAAAATGGTAAGTTTGGGTTCATGGCTCCTTCCTCTGGCCAGCCCACTATTAATATCATACTTGCCTTGGTTTTTGGACCATGTTTGTTAAATCTCTTAAACAAATTCATTTCTTCTCACCTAGATACCATCAAGCTTCAGATGATCATGCGACAAGGCTTCCAGACAGTTTCAGGTGAAGACACCACCCCTGGCCATCAAGAAACTACCATGTATCCACTAGACAGAACAAGGCAAAAGTTATTTGATCCCCAATAGGTAGAGACTGCACCCCAAGTCCGCATGAAGCAGTCACAGAAAAAAGACCATCAGTTTCTCTGCCTCCCATGAGATGTATGGGAATCATGTCTCTCAGGGGGGAAATGAGGCAGGACAATAGGGTCTGGAGGCAGGGAACCTAAGGCTGATTCTTACTGCCTTCTAGAATTGAATCAAAGGAAAACCCCCACCTTTCCATGCCCAAGTAACAAAATAATCAGAGGCTACTGCCTTTGCCATCTTCCCTCTTTCTGCATCACAAATGAAAAATGGAAAGTACCTCTGATTGGTCTCCTCCTGCAACCAATCAGACTGGTCATAGACCTAGTCTTTATTCGCATAGGGATGTAACTTTGTAACTTTATTTCAGTCTCTCATTGGTCACATTTCGCAACAAATCAGACTGGTTGTGGGCCACTCCATTTACATAGGATGTGACCAAGTAAACAATGGGACATATCTAGATGGTATGTAAACCCCAGAAAATTCTGTAACCAGCACTCTTGAGGCACTTGGTCAAGCCCACTCCCACTCTGTAGAGTGTAATTTTGCTTCCATAATTCTGTGCTTTTATTGCTTCATTCTTTTACTTCGTTTGTGTGTTTTGTCTAATTCTTTGTTCAAAACACCAAGAACCTGGATGACACATATTCAAGACCCTCCACCAGTTAAAAAAAAAAAAAAACCTACAGCTATTTTTCATGTAACTAAATACTAGGAAAAGGAAATAGATCTTCCTAGGGCTATTGGATGCAGAGTTTGTGCTGACAGTAAACTGATACCAGGGAATTCAAAAGCCATAAACCCTCCTCATCCTTTTACTTTCTGGTTAGATTGATAATTCAAATCCTAGCCCAACTCCATCTCACAATGTTTCCAATAGGTCTGTGGGCCCAGTCTGTTTCTTTGGTCTTTGAGTGCTTAATCAAGAAGGATATGTTCAAGAGCTCACAGTACCCCGACATCGGTTTCTTAAACTGCGGATTTAAGAGTAACTACAGCAGAAAAATGCTCAATATAAGTCCATGATACCTCTAACTCCGAGTCAAAACAGTGTACCAGAAACAGCATTCAGTATAGTGCAAACTTCATAGGATGTAAATGTGTGTGTTCCCATCATATCTGCATTTAATTCAGTACTTTACACCCTGCAAAAACATATAGATCAAAATAGATGACAGTGGTCTATCCTAACCTTAACTGTGTGATAACTTCAACTATGGCTGCCCTAATGAATATGGTATATTTACTAAAACAGATCACGCAACTACTCGGCATGTGGTCATTGATGTATTCTTACTAATCTCAATCCAGCAGGAGAATCAAATTCAGCTTGCATTCGTTTAGAACAGACTGCAGTACACATTAACTTCACCCATTCATGAATTCACACTTCAACAGCTATATTATTTATCCTACTCTGTGTTACAATAAAGTGTAAAGGAGGCTAGATCTGGTGCATAATGTAGAGATGATCGTGCTGGTCTTCTATACTGATGATACCTAAATCCATTGTTAAGTTTTGAGTGGGGCTGAGAGCAAGAGAAGAGCCTGTATCAGTTTCAAACTATGGCACTAAGTGGTGCTGTCACTTGAGCCATCTAATTTTGCAAATGCCACAAAGCTATATATATCTATGGAAGATAAGGGTGTTATGTAGAATCTCTGTCCATCTCAGTAGAGAATTCTGAGATTATCAGGCAGTGTCATATTGGGTGCAACACAGAGTTATTAAGCAGTTGAAATAAGGGGCTATGTTTCTACTCTGACATGTTAGTAGTTTGGAAGTCAACACTCCTATCCTTAAAATAACAAAAAAAAAAAACTGAACTGTTCAAGCTGAAAAACAAGTGTTCTTGCATGTATTGAGATTAGAGGGCAAGCAGATGCCCAAAACTGAATATAGAAGCAGACAGAGAACACAACTTACCTGGAGCAAAAGCCCAGGAGCAGAAGCCATTGCTGGGGCCAACATCAGTAGAAACACTTAAACTATAATTGAAGACTTATAGGAGGCTCACTGTGGGCCATCTTCAGATAGTCAGACTCTGAGGAGTCCAGCCACAAATGAGTTTTATTTTCGAGAAGTCCACCATGCTCTCATATAAAACTGGAGAAATTTTTTTTTCTTGCTTTGGGAGGAGAAAAATAATGCTCTGACATATGCCCAGATAATTCCATTCTCCTTAATAAAGGCTTTCCCTCAAAAGAAACTATTTTACTAAACTCACCAACCTTGGCTTTTACTCGTATAACCAAAGGTGGGGGGGAAAAAAATACATAACTCCAGCGCCCTCTAGCTTTAGACATGGGGGAAGAGAATTAATAATAACAGTTTAACACTGGTTCATTCCTCTGTATCACTGAGTAGTGTTTCATTTTATGAATTATAACAGCTTAACAATTTACCAGTTGAAGGGGATCTGGATTGTCTGCAGTTTCTGGTAATTATGAATAAGATACTGTAGATATCTGTGTACCATTTGGAGGATGAATATAAGTTTTTATTTTTTATGGAGTGATATCTAGATGTAGGATCACTGAATTATGAATTACATTGTAGGCATATATTTAACTTTATAAGAAACTAACAAATTATTTTTTAGCTGATTAAATGATGACTATACTATACTATAATGTACTATACTCTACTATGGCCCAGTAAGCAATATAAGAGATTTCTATTTGCTCTGAGTTCTTGACAGAAACAACCAAAATTGTGTACATATATGTATAGTAAGTTATATATAATAGTTATATATAGTAATTATATATTTTTATATCATGTATATGTAGTAATAACTTTGTGGTGGTATCTTATTGTGGTTTAAAATTTGCATTTTTTGTGGTCATTTGACACCCATATGTCTTATTTGGTAGAGTGTTTGTTCTTATTTTTTGCCCATTTTTCAGTTGATTATTTGTTTTTATTTTTGAGTTTTGGGAGAGTTTTATATTTTCTTGATATAAACCTCTTTATTAGAAATGTGATTTTCATATATGTTTTCCCCATGTGTAGCTGATCTTTTTGACTATGAAGTTATTTTGTAGAGGAAAGCTTTAATTTTGATAAAGTCCAATTTATCTTTTCTTTCATTAATTATGCCTTTGCTGTTGTATCTTTAAAAATCACTCTCAAGGCCACAGTCACACAGAATTCTTCCTTACTGGTGTCCAGTTCCATCTAACCCATGTGAGTCCATGTTCGTGTCTTTTATTTCCTTCAAGCACTGTCTCTCCTTAGATTTTGAGACAGTTTACTGCTCTGCTAACTAAGCATGCTCTGAAGCATTAACAAAATTCATCACTTTAACCACTGTTCTATTATTTTTTGATGGGAGGGGAAGACTGCTCACAATACTGATTCCAGCTCTCTAATCACAATGAAAGATAGGAATCTATATACAGATTCTTTTTCTTTTTTTAAAATTTGTTATTTCCATAGGTGTTTGGAGAACAAGTGGTATTTGATTACATGAGTAAGTACTTTAGTGGTGATTTCTAAGATTTTGGTGCACCCATCCCCTGAGCAATGTAAACTGAACCCAATTTGTAGTCTTTTATCCCTCACCCCCTACCCACCCTTTGCCCTGAGTCCCCCAAGCCCATTGTTTCATTCTTATGCCTTTGCGTCCTCATAGCTTAACTCCTACTTATGAGTTAGAACATATGATGTTTGGTTTTCCATTCCTGCGTTATTTCACTTAGAATAATAGTCTCCAATTCCAACCAGGTTGCTGTAAATGCCGTTAATTCATTCCTTATTATGGTTGCGTAGCATTCCATCGTGTGTGTGCGTGTGTGTGTGTGTGTGTGTATAACAATTCCTGCTTGGGGAGAAGGAAAAAATATATATATAATCACAATTTGTTAATCCACTTGCTGACTGATGCGTAGTTGGGCTGGTTCCATGTTTTTGCAATTGAGCATTGTGCTGCTACAAACAGGCATGTGTGTGCCCAGCCTCATCTGATCTCAGAAGTATATACACATTTTAATTAGTTTATTTATCAAATTTGAGACATTGTTATATAGCCTATCAACCATATATGACTGGTTTCAGTGAACTTTACCTATTATATTAGAAAACTCTTTCACCCTTTGTTTTCTTTTAAATGTAATGTATTTCATGAGTTTCACTTACATAGCATCTATGGTTTACAAAATAGTAAAGCTATTTTTACAATATTCCCAAATGAGAGGAGCATTCTCATTTTTTACATGAAGAAATTTGAAGCTCAAAGAAGACATTTTTTGACAAAGTTGATCAAGAATATGCGCATTGAAGTTTGTAAATCTAAATTCTTCTGCTTCCAAAAATACATGTTTTGTTCTTTACTTATTTTATGCTTTATGTAACTGTACATCGCAAATATAATAAAGATAAACATTGAAAGTATAACAGTATTTTTAAAAAATTGATTAATATGAAATTAACTATCAGACTTTATATCTGACTTATGAGTTATTTGGGCACATATGATTCTTTATGAGTGGTAAATGCTCTAATCTGGATATTTGAACAACATGTGGTGTGTCATGAATATTGATCTCAAATGTGTTTATTCTATCAATATAAACTATTTTATCAGTAGTAAATGAGGAGTTATATAGATAATAAATATTTAGGCAACAATAAAGTAACTTTTTAGACTCTTGCCTTTTTACTTGCAAAAATAAAAATTGAAGTAAGCTCTAATAAAGTTCTTATTGTTGAATGGATTTATTACTGAAAATAAAAAATATATTTTTCAGGAATTTTATTCTGGGCCAGATGCAGTGGAGCACACCTGTAATTCCAACACTTTGAGAGGCTATGGCAGGCAGAGGGCTTGAGCTCAGGTGTTCAAGACCAGCCTAGGCAACATGGTGAACCCTCTCTCTACAAAACTTAGCTGAGTGTGGTGGCTTATGCCTGTAGTACCAGCTACCAGAGGCTGAGGTGGGAGGATTGCTTGAGCCTAGAAGGTTGAGGCCGCAGTGAGCTGAGATAGTGCTGCTGTACTCCAGAGTAGGTGACAGAATGAGGCCTCGTCATTCTCAAAAAACAAGCAAACAAAAAATACTTTGAATGCTTTACCAAATTAAAAATGTACATGACTAGTAATCCTTTTTCATATATATGTATAATCCACAACATTATGCTCCCTAAATGTGCATAATTTTTATTAAAAATTAAAACTGAGACAAGAAAATATACTACTGTGTTAGATATTAAGCCAAGATCTTAAAAAAGCACTGAACAGCTCAAATTTCACTGACTAGCATTTTAGATAGTTACTTTAAGTCATAGCAGGATATTTTACATAAAATTATTTTATCTTGTCTTAAGAATTAACCAACACCTGAGCATTTTATCCTTACTCTGACTCAATGTGATTTTAATGGACTCAGGTCATAGTTGGAAAATTCCATCAAAATTAAGATGAATCATTTAGCTTTGTCATTCCTTGTGGATACTTACTCAAGAAGGATATCAAAAGAGGTTACACAGAATATTTCAAACCTAAAATTCTCAGAAAAACTATAAATATATAGCATATTTTATAAATTCTTACAGTTTATTATATTCTCTATTTTAATACATCATAATCAACAACTAAACACTATGTCCATGTTTTAACCAAATGTTTAATTGCTCTTAATGTTAAGAGAATTTTTTTGGACTACCTGGCTTTATCTACTCCTTAATGTATGAAATTTTATGCAACTAAGACCTGTGCCTGAAATTTTTTGACCTCTTGAGAGCTCAAGGCAGAAGTTGGGATGGGTTATTATGCATATCTACTGTGTAGCTAAGCCAGGGTGTCTAACAGGCTACACTATGTGAAAACCATCAGTAAACAAACTGATCCTAGCAGTATCCAGGGGAGTTTTAGACTTTAAAGTGCAGGTTATAAATCCCTGAGCCCTTATCTTGGCTGAGAGTCAAAGCCAAAATCCAGGATTACCAGAGATAAGGATAGAGTTTTCCCAGATTAGTTGGAATTCAATTCTATCCTACACAAATAGCAATATGCCCCCTTTCTCTAGGACTTCCATGCAAAACTATTTCAACAGATGTCAACTGAATCTCAAGTCAGTATTAATCCAACATTAAGCATCCAAGAGAGACCTTGAGAGTCTTAGCCCTGCCTTAAGTCTTATATTAGGAATAAACGGAAGTAATATCAGCAGATCACAGAAATTTGAATCCTCTGAACACTTATTCTGTTTTGCATTTTCATCAGTTTACTGCCATACCCCACCTCCCCATATACACCTTTTACGTGTAACAAAAATTTCAGAATTTTAAAATTTTCATTAGTTTAGCTATTTTTATTAAATTTAGCCAATGTTGATCATTCAGTGGAAAAAAATTAGAATATTTGCTTTCTTCGAAATGTCTCTGAAATTATGTGCATTCATTGAGATATTATTTATTTTCTTTTGTAGTAGGTAAAGCAAAAAGGAAGCAGGTGAGAAAATTAACCACAAATAATTTTAAGGAGTTAGTAAGTAAGTAGAATGAGGTACTTAGATGAAATAGCAGTGTGTGAGGTAATAGCACATTTGGGAAGTTGAAACGCAAGAATGTACACTTGGCCCTTGAACACACGCAGGTTAGGAGCTCTGATTACCAACCTCAGTTGAATGTTTGTGTATAAATTTAATTTTTTTAATTTTTAATTTTTGTAGGTGTATATACTTATGGAGTTAATGAGATATTTTGATATAGGCATACAATGTGTAATAATCACATCAGTGTAAATGGGGTATCCATCACCTAAAGCATTCAGTTCCTTGTGTTACAAGCATTTCAATTAAACTCCCTCAGTTATTCTAAAATGGAAATTATTGCTGACTGTAGTCACCCTGTTGTTATCAAGTACTAAATCTAACTCATTGTATCAAACTATATTTATGTACCTACCCATCAATTACTCCTATTTCCGCCCCACCCCCCACCCACTACCCTTCCCAGCCTCTGGTAACCATTATTCTATTTTCTATCCCCATGAGTTCCATTATTTTAATTTTTAGTTTCTGCAAATGAGTGAGAACATGAAAAGTCTGTCGTTCTGTGCCTGGCTTATTTATTTAACATACTGTCTTCCATTTTACCCATGTTGTTACAAATGACAGAATTTCTTTCTTTTTATAGCTAAATAGTACACCTCTGTGTATATGTAGCACATTTTCTTTATTCATTCATCAGTTGATGAACATTTAGATTGATTTCAAATTTTGACTACTTTAAATAGTGTTGCAATCTTCATGGGAGTACCAATACATCTTCAATATGCTGAATTCCTTTCTTTGGGGTATATATACCTAGCCGCGGGATTGCTGGATCATATGGCAATTCTATTTTTTGATTTTTGAGGGACCTCCATTATGTTCTCCACAGTGGCTGTACTAATTTACATTCCCACCAACAGAGTATGAGGATTCCTCTTTCTTCACATTCATGCCAGTGTGTGTTATTGCCTATCTTTTGGATAAAGGCCATTTTTACTGGAGTGAAAAACAACTAATTGTCGTTTGAATTTTCATTTTTCCGATGATCAGTGATGTTGTGCAACTTTTCATATACCTGTTTCTCATTTGTATGTCTTCTTTTGAGAAATATCTATTCAGGTCTTTTGCCCACTTTTGAACTGGATTATTAGATTGTTCACAATAGAATTTTTTGTGCTCCTTATATTTTGTCATTATTAATTCTTCATCAGATGGACAGGTAACAAATATTTTCTCCCATTCTGTGGGTCATCTCTACACTTTGTTAATTAATTCCTTTGCTGTGCAGAAGCTTTTTAACTCGATGTGATCCCATTTGTTCATTTTTGCTTTGATTGCCTGTGCTTTTGGGGGTATTACTCAAGAAATCTTTGCTCAGTCCACTGTCCTGAAGAGATTTCCCAATGTTTTCTCATAGTATTTCATAGTTTGGGGGCTTAGATTTAAGTCTTTGAGTCATTTTTATTTGATTTTTTTGTATATGTTGAGAGATAGGGGTTTCATTCTTCTGCATATGGTATTCAGTTTTGCCAGCACTCTATAATGAAAAGACTATCATATCCCCAGTGTATGTTATAGGAACTATTGTCAAAAATGGGTTTACTATAGATGTATGGATTTATATCTGGGATTTTAATTCTGTTCTATTGGTCTATGTGTCTGTTTTTATACCAGTACTATGCTGTTTTAGAGACTATAGCTCTGTAGTACAATATTAAGTCAGGTAATGTGATTCCTCCCATTGTTTTATTTTTGCTCAGGGTGGCTTTAGATGTTCTGGGTCTTTTGTAGTTCCATATAAATTTAAAATTATTCATCTTTTTTCTGCAAAGAATGCCACTGGCATTTTGATAGTGATTGTACTGAATCTGTAGATAGCTTTGGGAATATGAACATTTTAACAATGTTGATTCTTTCATTCCAGGAACATGGAATATCTCTTTATTTTTGTGTGTATTCTCTTCAATTTACTGCATAAATGTTTTACAGTTTTTACTGTAAAGATATTTTACTTCTTTGTTTAAGTTTACTCCTAGGAATTTTGTTTGTAGCTATTGTAAATTGAGTTAGTGTCTTGTTTTTTTTATGTTTGCTGTTGACATATACAGTTACAATTTATTTTCATATGTTGCTATCGTATCCCATAAATTTATTGAATAATTCTTATCAGTTCTAATAGCTTTTAATGAAGTTCTAAGAATACTTGTTTTATATATCTGAGTGCTCCAGTGTTCGGTGCAAACATATTTACAATTGTTACATTATCTTGCTAAACTGATTCTCTTGTCATTATGTAATAGCCTTCTTTGTCGCTTCTTATAGTTTGAATCTTGAAATCTATTTTGTCTGATCTAAATATCCTGATTTTTTTTCTTTTCATTTGCATGGAATGTCTTCTTCCATCCCTTTATTTTCAGTCTATTTGTGTTTCTTGTATGTGACAGATCATTATCATTGTGTCTTTAAAAAAAATCCATTCAGCCACTGTATGTTTTTGATAAGAGAGTTGAGTTCATTTACATGGAATGTTATTATTGATAAATAAGGATTTACTCCTGCCTTTCTGTTTGTTTTCTGGTGTTCTCTTTCTTCATTTCTCCCTGACTTCCTTTTAGTGAAAGTGAATTTATCTGGTGGTATGTTTTAATTTCTTGTTTTATATTTTTTGTGTATCTATTATAAGGTTTCTTTTTTGAGGTTATTGTGAGCCTTATAAATAACATCCTATAACCCATTATTTTAAACTGATGGCAACTTTAATGCAAAAACAAGCAGATAAATGCACAAGCAAAGAGATAACTTAAAAAATTATGCACCTCATCTCTATTTCCTCCCACTAGTCAACTTTTTGTTGTTTCCATTTATATCTTATTGCTCTATGTTTGAAAAAGTTGTTCTAGTTATTATTTTTTGATGGATTCATATTTTATTCTTCTTCCTCAATATATGAGTAGTTTACACACCTCAATTACAGTGTTATATTATTCTCTATTTGCCTTTGTACTTACTATTACAAGTGAGTTTTTTACCTTCAGATGACTTTTATTATCTCCTAAGAGACTTTCTTTTAGATTGAATAAATCTCTTTAGCATTTCTTACAGAATGGGTCTGGTTTTAACAAAATTTCTTAGCTTTTGTTTGGGAAAGTCTTTATTTTTTCTTCATGTTTGCAAGATATTTTTTTCTGAATATAATATTCTAGAGTAAAAGTGTATTTTTGCTTTTGTTTTTATTTTTTTTACTGCAAGACTTTACATGTATCATGTCACTCTCTTCACCTGTAATGTTTCCACTGAAAAGTTTGCTGCCAGACATATTGAAGCTCCTTTATATGTTATTTGTTTATTTTTTCTTGCTGCTTTTAGAATCCTTTCTTTAATCTTGAACTTTTGGAGTTTGATTATTAAATGCCTTGAGGTAGTCTTACTTGAGTTAAATCTGCTTGGTGTTTAATAGCCTTCTTGCACTTTAATATTGATATCTTTCTCTAGGTTAGGAAGTCTCTGTTATTATCCTTTGAAAAAATATTTCTACCCATATCTCTTTTTCTACTTCCTCTTTAAGGCCAATAACGCTTAGATTTGCCCCCTTTGATGCTATTTTCTAGATTCTGTAGAAATGCTTTATTTTTTTTCTTTTGACTCCTCTGACCATGTATTTTCAAATAGCCTCTCTTCAAGCTCATTAATCCTTTCTTCTGCTTGATCAATTCTGCTATTGAGAGACACTGATGTATTCTTCAGTTTGTCAACCGAATTTTTCAGCACCAAAAGTTTTACTTGATTCTTTTAATCATTTCAATCTCTTTGTTAAATTTATATCATAATATTCTGATTGCTTTCTCACCATTATCTTGGATTATGTTGACCTTTCTTAGAACATCTATTTTGAGCTCTCTATTTGAAAGGTCACATATGTCCATCACTCCAGAATTGGTCACTGGTGTTTTATTTGGTTTGTTCAGTAAGGTACAGTTTTTCTGGATGATACTGATTCTTGTGGATGTTTATTGACATCTGGACATTAAAGAGTAAGGTATTTACTGTCGTCTTTTAAATCAGGGCTTCCTTGTACTCATTCTTCTTTAGATGTCTTTCCAAGTATTCAAAGGGAGTTGAATGTTGTGATGTATCTTTGGTTGCTGTAGCCAGATGTGCATTAGAGGAGAAACCAAGCCCATTAATAATACATATCTTTCAGAGTTGTAGAGGTACTGCCTTGGTGTTCTTGGATTAGATCCAAGAAAATTCCCTGGATTACTAGGCAGAGTCTGTTGTTCTCTTTCCTTTCCTTCTCCCACAGAAATAAAATCTCTTTATCTCTGTGCTGCTCTGCCTAAAATTTGGGGAAAGGTGATGCAAGCACTCCTATGGTCATCACCGCTGGGACTGTGGTGGGTCACATCTAAAGCCAGCACTATTCTGGGTCTCACCCAAGACCTGTGGTAACTGTTTACTAGCTACCATTGATGTTTATTTAAGGCCCAAGAGCTCTTTCATCAGCAGGTAAAGAATTCTGCCAAAACTCCATCTTTCTTTTCAGAGCATCACATTCCATGTGGTCCAGGGTGAGTCTAGAAATGTTGACTGAGAGAGAGGGCCTGGAATCAGGGACTTTGGTAATCTGCTTGGTGCTTTATTTTGCTATGACTGAGCTCATATCCACGTTGTAAGACAGTTATTTTTACTCTTCCCTCTTATTTCCTCAAGCAGGAGTATCTCCCCTGTAGCTGCCACAGTTAGGAATGTACTAGGTGACACCTGAAGCCTGATTGGTACTAGGTTTTGTCCAAGGCCCATAGTAACTACTGCCTGACTACCACTAAAGTTTATTAGAGGCTCAAGGGCCCTTTAAGTGAACTGTGGTAAATTCTGCCAGGACTGGCTTCTTTCTTCAGGACAGTAGGTTCCCTTTGGCCCAAGGTGGGTCTAGAAAATGTTGCCTGGGAACTATGGCCTGAAATAGGAGCTGTAGGACTCTGTATGGTGCTTTCTTTCACTGGAGCTGAGCTGGTATCCAGGTTGCAAGACAAAGTCCTCTTTGCCTTCCCCTTTCTCCCAAAATTGCCAGCTACACCACCTGGGGTTGTGGGAGGGGTGACATAAGTACTCCCTTGGCCACCACAAATGGTATCTCTCTGGGTTACATGCACCCCAAGTCCACTGGCTCTGAGCCAGCTCTCTAGGTTACATGCAGAATTTACCCAGGAATTGCACTCCTTGTGGCTTAAAGTATATTAAGCCCTTCAAGTATATTTAGAAACTCAGAGCCTCTTAGCCTAAGGTAATGGAGCTTGCCAGAACTCGGATTCCTACTGCTGGGATGGATGACTTTTCTCTGACTAGAGCTAGTCAAAATGCTACCTCCATGGGCACCAGCTAAATTCTGCCCTATGTTGCTTTCTCATGTGACAGGGCAGCACTGATTTCCAATGCAAAGTGTCAGAAACACTTTGCTTTCCCTCCCCCAAGCACAAAGATTCTCCTTCTATACCACACACTGCTGCTGAGAGATGTTGGAGGGGTGGTGTTAAAAATTCAAAGCTGTTTTTCCTACACTCTTCAGTGCCCCTTTCCTTCATATGATGTTGAAACCAGGTACTTTGATTGCTGATTTTACGTTCTTATGAAGGTGCTTTCTGAAGTGGAAAGTTGTTCAATTCCGTGTTCCTGTGGGAGACGACGATTGCTGGAGTGTTTTATTTGGCCATTTTGCTCCACTTCCCAAGAGTCAAAAAATCCAGTGCATAGCTTTTGACTCTAGTATATAAATTTTGACTCCCCCAAAACTTAACTATGAATAGCCTACTATTAACCAAAAGCCTTACTAATAGCATAATAGCATAAATGTTCTAACAACAAATTTTATCTGTTATATAGTACTATATGTACCATATAACACACATAATATATATCACAGGTAAAATGTATTATGTATATCTAGTATATAACACATATAACATCAAATACATATCTCTCCATCTATCTATCTTAGAGACAGTCACTCTGTCACCCAAGCTGGAGTGCAGAGTCATGATCAGACCTTGCTGCAAGAGATCCTCTTGTAACAGCATCCAGAGTAGCTGGAATTACAGGCAGGAACAATTGCACCTGGGCCACTATACTGTATTCTTACAATAAAGTAAGCTAGAGAAAATAAAATGTTATTAAGAAAATCAAGGAAGATAAAATATATCTGCAATTTATTAAGTGGAATGGATCATCATAAAGGTCTTCATCTTCCTCATTGTCATATTGAATTGGCTGAGAAAGAATAGAAAGAGGAGGGATTGGTCTTCTTATCTCAGTGATAGCAAAGGCAGAAGAAGTAGAGGAGGTAGAAGCAGGAGCAGGAGAGGCAGGTACACTCCATGTAACTTTTATTGAAAAACAAATGTGTGTAAGTGTACCTGCACAGGTCAAACACGTTACTTAATGGTCGATTATAATGCTATAAGAATCTCCATGCTGTTTATGATCTGTGATTTCCAATATGGCATACTCATAAATACTCTGAAAAATGACTTTATGTTAGTCTTATATAATTAAAAGACACTAATGAATCTTTGCTAAATGTTATAGCGTATTCAAATTTTGAAAGCAAAATATTAGATTGTGAGTGAAAATGTCCTGAATTTATATTTTATTAATAGACATGTCTGTCTTTGACTTGTCCTTATAAGAATCTGTTCAGATATGTTTTCACTTTTTATGAATATATTTATAATGTATAAAATATTTTGTCATGAAAGTTTTACAATATGTGTATAATATTAAAATGTACACTTATAATTGTAATAAAGTTACTAAAGTAAAACTGCAAATAAAAGCGTCATAAAAGAACATATTTTCATAAAATTATTTAAAATTTTGAAGTAATTCTTCAGTATAAAAATGTTAATTATTTTTTCATTTGAATAAAACACTCCATAGACATAAATAAGTACATATAATTTGATAAAAAATATTTTAATGATTTTATAAAAGGAAGATATAATAAATACAGCTAAAGAAATACTAATAAACAATAAGTTAAATTATAAATTATTGGTGAATAATACCAATAAAACCATAAAGATATTTTAGAGTGATCAGGATTTAAAATGACACATAACTATGTGTAATAATGTGCTATTTTTAGACATAATTCAAACACTCTTTTGTTGTATAAGTGTGCATTCTTTGATATCCATTGTTATTTAAATATTTTAACACTTTATTTTGAAATATTTAAAAATATTTTCCATTAAAAAATATGAGTCTAAATTACAAATCAAAGGAGAAAAATAAATCATTATGAAGCAGGAGAATAGGATCTGAAGGCAGAGAACCTAAGGCCAATTCATGCTGACTTCTTAGAAATGACTCTGAAAGAAACCCCAGCTCCCCACACCAGAGTAACAAAAGGATCAGAGGCTACTCCCCTTGCAACTCCCCTTTTTTGCATTGCAGACAAAAAATGAAAGTACCTCTGATTGGTCTCTTTCTGCAAACAATTAGACTGGTCACAGGCCAAGACTTCACATGTAACTTTGTAACTTCACTTCATCCTCTGATTGGTTACCTTCTGCAACCTATCAGACTAGCGTGGACCACTACTTCATTGATATAGGGTGTAAACAAAAGTAACCAATGGGAAAACTCTAGAGGGTATTTAAACCCCAGAAAATTCTGTAACAAGTACTCTTGAGCCACTTGCTCGGCCTGCTCCCATTCTGTGGAGTGTACTTTCATTTCAATAAATCTGTGCTTTTCTTTTGTTGCTTCGTTTGTGTGTTTTTTCCGATTAGTTGTTCAAAGCACCACGAAACTGAACACCCTCCACTGGTAATATATTTTGGCAAGCCAGCCAGGAGGTAACTTAAAAGTTTGGAATTTATTTTTCTTCTTCTTTTCCCTTTTCCTCTTTGCTCCATACAGGGGAACACTTTTCTCTATTTCTCTTTCCAAATCAGAACCCTCGGTAGACAGCACCTAAGCCCAGAGGCAACTGCAGGTTTCCGCCCAAGGCCACTCTGGTGAAGCTGAAAGGTTTCCTTGTGGAAAAGCCTGACTACACCACCTGGATTGAGTGAAGAACCTTTTCCATTTTTTTTTTTCCTTCAGTCTTTAAATAGCTGTTTCCTGGCAACTCCTTGGTAATTGAAGGCAGCTAGCCAGGACCACTCTGGTGTTACCTGAAAGCCAAGGAGTAAACAGGGATAGCTTCCCTGCCCGTTAGGGGGAAGGACTTCATTCTATATTTTCCATTTATAGTACCTGATCCCTACATGTGACACAATTGGCTTTGGCAGCTCGTCCAGGGTGAATTCGCACACATTTCAGGTGACTTAAACCTTCTTTCTGTATGCTAAATTCTCCTATACAGTTAACACATAATGGCAAAAGATAATGTCTCTTAGGTGTTTTGACCTCCTTTCTCCTACTAGATCTATTCCACTGGCTAAGGACAAAAGAAACCCACCCAGCCTCCACTTTCTGCCATTAAAGTTCATGGCTATCATTCTAGTGGAATAGAAAGCATGGAAAAGTGTGGTCTTATTAAATTATATGGGTGCTAGAAGTCAAGGTCTTCATTTAGGGACAAAAGGAAAGTTTTTACTAGGCCATCGGCTCTGGAGGGAAAACATAAAAAGTGGCACCAGTGCCCAGCTAAGGTCAGAGATATCTGACTCTCTAAGATTGGATCCCAAAAGGGAATGCCCCAGCGGATCCGACTCCAGACCTCGACCTCTCCAATGGGGATGCCCTCTGCAGAGGTTCTGCAGTCTAGTACTAAGCCCTCCTTAGAATTTTCTCCCATATATGAAAATGGGAAACACTCCATTTACTCCATGTGGCGCCCTGTTTGGCCACATCCTCATTAGAATCAGTTTGACCCTGACAATCTAAAGAGAACACACTTGATATTCTTTTCCAATACTGTTTGGCCTGAATATTGTTTGGAATCTGGAGCTTGCTCTTGAATGGGAAAGTGGGAGGGAATTGCATGTATCTAGGCTTTTGTGTTGCTATTCTAAGTAAGGTAGGGCCTGGTTAGTATGTGATGTTCTCCTTTGGTGCTATTTGGTCCCAGTGTTCGTTGGATCCTGAGGAGGTTTGAACTTTAAAAATCAAACTGCCATGGAAACTGCTTTACTCAAAATTTTGGTTCACAGCCTTCATTGGATTACCTATTGGGGCAAACAATGTAAAACCGATGAGTTTATATTGCTATGTCATGGCTAGAGTTCCGAGGTAAAAGCTATTGGATCTTCATTTATGTGTGTTCATACGTGTCTAGATGTGTTTATTTGTATGTACACTTATTGTTATATGTTGTGTCTACCAAATTGGCTTATAAGTAAAAGAGTACCCATAAATTAAGTAAAAATGCCTAAGCAATTTTCAAGTTCAGGTGACTTAAGTATAACTTTACTAAACAAGCTGTCTTTAAAATTATTGGTAAAATGAAAATAGAAATGCCTTCAGAATTGTCAGCATATATTTTTGTCTGGATTTTATCTTTGTCTCTGGTAGATATTTTGAGGTGTCAGGGTTTGGCATAGAAGGTTATAAAACTATAAACCTAACCAAAACAAAATGATCTCTGTGCAGATTTTTTGATAAGTAAGACTAATGTTATGATTTAATTAGTAAGACTAATGTTACAATTTAATGAAAACAACTGAATTTTCTGAGTTATTGATGAAAAGTCTATGTATTTAACTTTAAGGTTCTGATTTCAGTGAACACCTGATATTCACAGATTATAAAATGGTAAACAAGGAAATGATTCACTTTAAATGATGGTGTCTAATATCTCAGTTTTCAGAAGTAATCTAGATAAACTGTTAAAAATGAAAGCTGAGTCCATGTAAATGAGATGCTGTAGGTAAATTTCTTGTGTAATTTAAAATTCTAAAATTATTTTTGATGCTCATTGAATATCTGTGTCATTTCTAAGAAAGGGTTGTGACAGGGGAAATATTGTTCTAAAAATTGTGGAATTGTTCTTACCTATAAATGCCCATATCTGATAGTTCAGGGTTTCTTGGTTTTTAGGGTTTCATTAAAGTTTTAGGTTACTAAGTATAAAAATTCTAGTTAATGCATAATTCTGTATACAAACTGTGAAAGGGTCATGTTATTAATGAGGAAAAGAATAGAAAATTAATTTAAAAGTTAATTCAAATTACAGGTTTGTAGAGGTTATTTATAAAACAAGGTAGTGAAAAACCAGTAAGGGAGAGGGATGTAAAGATAGTTATGTATATGAAGATGTATTTTTGGTAAGGAAGATTATAAAGAAAATAATAATTCTGTATGAGAAAGGATCTTGTATGGTGATTTTTTTTTTTTTTTGGCCTAGAGTAAAATGACTGGTTATTTAAAGAAGAAGAAGAAGAAGAAGGAAGGGAAGAAGAAGGAGAAAATCTGGAACTGAACAAAAAGCCCACGCATGTCATAGATTGCCTTTCAAGTAATATGTAATTTTTCCTGTTTCTCCGTATGCCTATCTTCAAGTACATATAGAGAAAATATAAAGCTGAAGAAGTTTAGATAACAAAATATTATTTAAAACCTGATAGAGATTTGGATAAATCTGGCTAATTAACATTTTTATAGTTAAAGCTCTTAGTCTTGATTAAAGTAAAATAAGAAATATTTTAAAGAAATGCATCGGCAGTTTGGCGATATTCTTTTTTAATATTGTTAAGCATGAAGCCAGATTTAGTGTGGAGCCAAATTTCACATACATGCTTGCATTGCTTCACACTATGTTTACTGTTTTGCATGGATTATACTAGCACTGTAGTACTTACTGGTAATGTTCCCAGAGTGAATTTCTTGATTGTATAGGAGGTATGGTGATATTGGTACAAATTAAGGATATTGAATTGTGTATGAGCAATAAAACATTCATTATGTGGGTTTTGGGGGGCTTTGGATAACATTGTAGCCTCCAGTGTAGACTGAGTAGAAAATACTTAGCATTGTTTTCCTGTTTATTTGTTTTTGCTTCTAAATTTTATTTGTTTGTTATTTGTTCTCCTTTGGGTTTTTGTATGCATATGATGCTTTTTAGTTTCCAATGGAAGAATTTTATTTGATTCTGTGAATAGTTATTTTTTCCCTATGCATCTCTAGCAAGCCATCATTTGTTCTATTTCTCTGAGATTCCTAGGCTCCTTTAGTCAGGCCTGCAGGAACTGATGAAGCACACCAGCCATTTGGAATTTTGTTCATTTTGCTTGCCTCTGATAATCTAGAGAACTAAAAAATAAAAGACTTATTTTTATAGATTCTGGACAGAAATAGTACATTACACATTTTGTTGTTTGGAGGGGTAAATGAGAGTGGAAATGTTTGAGTGGTGTGTGTTTCCAGGGTGATTCAATTGAATCAATAGTTTGGGTTGGTTTCAGAACTTTTCCTTTGATGAAGAAAAACTGTGATATGGGCACAAAGTTTTAATGTTCAGGAAAGATTGGCTTTGTCCTTAAGAAAATTATATTGACTAGAATTTCTCTCAAGCTAATTCAATTTTGTTTACTACTATCAAATTAAAATTACCTTCACCTGGATTAAGTAGTAATAACAAAGGTGAGACTTTCCAGTGATTTTTTTTATCTCAAGCTGTCTATCAGTGATGAGCCTTCATGTGTGTACTTGAAAACAAAATATGTGCAGGTGTTGCAATGGTATAAAAGTTTTTATGGTGAAAGTTATCTAATTAGTTGTCAGTACCGTATCTAGAAACCAATCTTGGGAATATGTGATGACCTGCTTTTAAAAATAGCTGAAAGGAAACTGTTTGCTTGTTTTTACTTTGTCCTTGTTTTGTTGTATCATATTTAAATGAAAGGAGATTATTTCTCACCCTGAACTTCCAAAACTGATATTCTTAATTAAAAAGTTTATGGAACTCCTACCTTATGGTGAGTCTAATTAAAATTAGTCAAATTTGTTTATAAGGTTTGATTAAAATTAGATTTAAAATTACTAATATGCCATACAAAAGTAAAATTTTGGTTTCCTCTTTTGGACAAAATATTTGCGTAATAAAAATATTTGTTTACCTTTTGAATAAACTTCAGGAAGAAATTGGAGGGGGAAGAGACAAATCTGGTTGCCTCGTGCTGTCTTAAGTATTAGGTCTTATTTGTTTGAGAAGTTAAACTGCATTTCTTCATTATTGAAAAGTAAACGTTTTTGTATTATAATTTTGGCTACCTAAATGACAATTTTATAGTAACTTGTGATAGTATTTTGTGATACCGAGTCTCTTAAACCACTGAAATTGGAAAAACTTTCCAACAGCAGAATTTCAAGTCTTAAATTGAGTCTTTTGACCTCAAACTAAACTTTTTGGATATTAGGCTACCTGAAATTCAACAAAGACACATTGGGCTTATTAGGTGTATTTGTAATGTTATGATTACACAACAAGCATTGTCAAATCTGAGGTAGTGTTTAGCCTCCTTTGGGTTATATTTATATAGATGTTTTATTAGCATGTGTTCCAGGATTGTATGAGACTCCTTGAATTGTGATATGTCTTAATATACATTTTCAGTAATATATGATTATTATGTTAAATTGTTGTATACCATAGAAATAACCAAATTTCCTTGTCGACTGTGTCTTTAAGTATGGCTGTTGTGAATATTCTTAATTCATGGCCATGTGTTTGTTTGCATGCAGTTAATAACCACATGTTTTCTTTTGTAATGGGACACAATTAGAGAAACTGGTTATTTTCTCAGAGCTTTCACTGAAATGGCCTTGTGAGTTGTTCCAGCAAAGCCAATTTAGAAGAGTCTACATGAAAAATAATTTTTGTTGCACTTTGCGTGGGTACTCATACCAAGTATATGAGACTGAAGCTTATTATGCAGGTAGATTGGTTCTGCCATGATTTGTCTTTGGAGGAAATGGCAGACCAGAGAGAGAAATATCATAGGTCTCAAAATTAATATAGTACCCAACAACCAATCCCTCATTATACCTTTAACTTCAACCAATGGACACAAACAAGCCATCCAACTTATACCCCTTTGGTAGGGCTAGGAATAGCAGCAGGAGTAGGAATAAGAGTTGGCAGGCTTGCAACTTCCCTATCCTATTACCAACGCTTGTCCAGTGATTTTATGAAAAGCTTGAATGACATTTCCCAAGGTATCATTACCATACAAAGTCAAATAGACTCTTTGGCAGTGGTCACTTTGCAAAATAGAATGGGACTAGATCTCCTAACTGCTGAAAAAGGTGGCTTATGACTTTTTCCTAGAGAACAAATGCTGTTTTAATGTCAACCAATCAAGATTAATAAGACATGACACCCAAAAACTAGCTGACTGGGCCTCTGAAATATCACAACAGCTGTTTGAGTCATTAGGCTACTGGTGAAGGGCACTGCGTTAGGTTTCATGGCTCCTCCCCTTGGCCAGCCCATTATTAATAATTACAATTGCCTTGTTTTTTGGACCATGTTTGTTAAATCTTTTAACCAAGTTAATTTCCATCAAGCTTCAGACAATCATGAGAAAAGGTTTCCAGCAGTTCCAGATGAAGACACTGTCAGCCATCAAGAAGGTCCTCTGTCTCCACTAGACAGAGCTTGGCAAGAGTTCCATGATCCCCAATAGGTAGGTACTGCACTCCAAGTCAGCAGGAAGCAGTAACTAAAACAAATACCCTTTGTCCCTCTGCCCCCCCATAGAGATTTATGGGGATCATGTCTCTTAGGGGGGAAATAAGGCAGAAGAATAAGATCTGGAGGCAAGGAACCTCAGGCTGATTCACACTGACTTCCTAAAACTGAATCAAAAGGAAAATCCACCTCTTCACACCCAAGTAACAAAAGGATCAGAGGCTACTTGCTTTGCAATCCCCCTACTTTGTCTGCATTGCAAATGAAAAATAAAATTACCTCTATGGGCACCCTCCTGCAACCAATCAGACTGGTCACAGGCCAAGACTTCATGTGTAACTTTGTAACTTCACTTCAGCATCTCATTCATTGGTTGCCTTCTGCAACCAATCAGACTTGTTGTGGGCCACTACCTTATGTAAATAGGGTGTAAACCAAGTAACCAATGGGAAACCTCTAGAGGGATTTAAATCCCAGAAAATTCTGTACCCAGTGCTCTTGCACCACTTGGTCAAGTCCACTGTTACTCTGTGGAGTGTACTTTCATTTCAATAAATCTGTGCTTTTCTTTTGTTGCTTTGTTTGTGCATTTTGTCCAATTCTTTGCAAAATGCCAAGAACCTGTACACCCTCAAGTGGTAACAATTGGGCATATTATACTTAATTGTTTTCCTGACACAACATATTAACATTGGACAAAATATTATCCTGAGATACCACAACAATGTTGGGCAAAAACATATTAATTTTGGACAAAAACAACTTAAATAGGACCTATAACATGTCAATATGAATTAAAATTATCTGACTTATTTTATTTAATTAATACCTCATTTTTTCTTAGTTTCCCAGGGTTGAATATTGGTTACTTCATTAGAAAAAAAACCTGAATATTATTGTATAAAATAAATGTATATGCAATTATACTATTTATGTAAACAAATTTGAGATTTTGTACCACACATTTAGTGACAAATGTTTAATTCATCAACTGTTTCAGAAAATAAAGAATCTTTGTTTAAATTACTCTACATTATTTTTATTTACATTGGGAAAAACAAATTGGTAATCTCTCGTGATGAATACTGATATCCAGAAATATATTTTAAAATTGTTACCAAAAATGCTATTTTGTGCATAGGCTTGTTGGTTCTATTATGCCCAGAGATTGATTAAATCTATCCACCTAAAATTAGGTTAAAAACAGTGCCAAACTAAAAATATAAATTTTTTTAAACTTTACAGAATACTATTTATACAAACTACTATCAATTGTTCTTTTTATATAAAAGCTGTAACAATAGCTTGAATAAATAAAATGTGGTACATATGCACAGTGGAGTACTATTCTGTAATAAAAAAGAATGAGATCCCAACATTTGCAACAACATTGATGGAACTGAATAAATGAAATAAGCCAGTCAAAGAAAAAAAAATGCAGGTTCTCACTTGTTTGTGGGATCTACAAATCAAAACAGTTGAATTCATGGACATGGAGAGCGGAAGAATGGTTGCCAGAGAGGCTGAGACACATAGTGAGGGGCTCGGAGGCAGGTGGGGATGGTTAATTGGTACAAAATAAAACGGAAAGAATGAATAAGACCTACTCTTCGATAACACAATAGAGTGACTATAGTCAACAATGACTTAATTGCACATTTTTAAATAATTTAAACAGTATAATTGGCTGGGCGGGGTGGCTCAAGCCTGTAATCCTGGCACTTTGGGAGGCCGAGGTGGGCGGATACCGAGGTCGGGAGATGGAGACCATCCTGGCTAACACAGTGAAACCCCATCTCTACTAAAAATACAAAAAATTATCCGGGCATGGTTGCCGGCGCCTGTAGTCTCAGCTACTCGGGAGGCTGAGGCAGGAGAATGGCGTGAACCCGGGAGGCGGAGCTTGCAGTGAACCGAGATTGTGCGATGCATTCCAGCCTGGGTGACAGAGCAAGACTCCGTCTCAAAAAAAAAAAAAAAAAAGTATAATTGGATCGTTTATAACTCAAATAATAAATACTTGAGGGGATGGATACCCCATTCTTCATTATGTGCTTTTTCACACTGCATGCCAGAATCAAAACATCTCATGTACCCCATAAATATATACACCTACTATGTACCAACAAAAATTTAAAAAATAATAATAAATAAATACATAAAATAAAATATATATTTGCATGCCACTGGAAAAAAATCACTCTATTTTTATAATAAAGCCAAAAGTCATATTCTCTATGAGTAGGAAAAAAACGCTGGACTAAGACATGCATAATGCATGATCATTTAATCACAAATATTTACACCTAACCTTACTTAATTTTCATTTTAGTGATCATGAAAAAACATACCAAGCAATAAAAAATAATTTATTCTATTACTACATTAGGCTAAACTATCTAGATACTTCTATTCCTACTACATTGACTGCATTGTGCTTTTTCTGACACCCTCTTTTAAAAATTGTTTATTATTATTAACATTATCGGTAACAAAATTTTCAAACATACAAGATTACTTATTTGATCCATTCATTTATTCAATAAGAATTCACTGAATGCCAATTTTGTATGAGTATGGGTTTATGTAAAAAGATTTTCAAATACATAAGTAATGTCATTATTCAGGAGATACGTATTTTTTTCACTTACTCATTCCCTGAGGTTTTAAATATTGGCTGTCAAAATTCTCTATTTTCACACTACCTGTCTTGGCTCTAATCACTTTACTATAACAATTACACTATAGACTGGGTAGCCTATAAGCAACGGAAATTGATCTCTCACAGTTCTGGAAGCTGAGAAGGCCAAGATGAAGGCTCTAGCAGATTAGATGTGTGGTGAGGGCCTGTTTCTAGTTCATAAGTGGATGTCTTTTCTATGTTCTCACATGGTGGAAGAGGTGAGAGATCTCTTTGGAGCTTCTTTTGTAAGTGTTCTAATCTTATTTATGTGGGGCCTACCCTCAAGACCTCCCAATATCCCTGCCTCCTAATACCACTACATAGGACATTAGGATTTTACAAGAATTTTTGGGGGGCATATACATTTAGATCATAGCATGAATGGACAAGAAGTCAATGATACTTTTAAAATGCCAATCCTACATTGTGTGTGTGTGTGTGTGTGTGTGTGTGTGTGTGTTAATAAAGTGGTCATGTTACAGTAAAATATTTCTTAGTGTTTTATAAATGATTGTATTCATTCTGATATTGCATAAGTTAATACACAAATATTAGAAAGGCACAAACAAGTATTTTAAAGCCTTGGAATATTTCACTGGACTCTGTAAGTAAACATTTTCTTATTGGCTTCAGTATATGATTTAGACCATAATACGGTTTGGTTCTGTATTCTCTTGCAAATCTCATCTTGAATTGTACTCCCATAATTCCCATGTGTTGTGGGAGGGACCCAGTCGGAGAGAAACTGAATCATGGGGTTGGTTTCTCCCATACTGTTCTTGTGGTAGTGAACAAGTCTCACAAGATCTGATGGTTTTATAGGAGGAGACCCCTTTCATTCTCTTCTCTCTTGCCGCGACCATGTAAGACGTGCCATCATTATGCCATCATTGTGAGGCCTCGTCAGCCACGGGGAGCTGTGAGTCCAATAACCTCTTTCTTTTGTAAATTGCCCAGTCTCAGGTATCTCTTTATCAGCAGCATGAAAATGGAGTAGAAGAGATTCACAGAATGTACTAAGAATAAAATGCGTCTACTCTTCTTCAATGAAATTTCTTTGTAAATCAGAACATTTATGTTAATCTAGCATCAACTAAAACAATGTTTTTCATTGACACTTTCATTCGAATATATCAAGAATCTTATTTTGTCTCTAAAATCTAGACAATTAATTTTAGAAGAGGCACCAATATTATATCACATGTGTGTTGTGTGGGTCTCAGGATACAGAAGGGACTTCTGCAAAATTTCTCAAGTCTCCCTGGAGGCAGGGCATGTCATACCTTGAGAGAAAATGATAAATGGAATTTATATCAAGGTTTCACATTCCTATGCCTTTATTCAAGATGCCTAGAAAATTGTGTAAGTAATCATTTCCTCTAGCCTACTGCATTCTTATCTGTATTATTGTTAATTTGAACGAACAGTTCCTGGGGTTCATAAGTTCTACAGAGATAGAAAAATGAGTAAAACTGCTAGGACTTTCAATTTATCTGCAATTTTTCTTCTTCTGAGAATATATTTGGTAGAAAATTATCTTCTGCTCTGGGTATATTTGTTTTAGATTGAATATATGTATACATATGTATGTGTGTATGTATGTACATATATGTGTATATATAATATATGAGAAGCTTCTATTTCTGTGTTTTTGAGTTAGATAACTGAACTAGTTTTACTAATATTGAAGTCTTCCTTTATAACTATCTCTTTTATATTGCAATTTGAAGCCATCAAAGTATTGATTTTCAAAAATTTTCCCACTTGTTAATGGCATTCTATTATCCTTCTATAGAGTAGTGTGAATCATGAAGAAAATAGATTTGAACAAAACTGCAAAAACTAAGTATACCCCAATACCATGACAAATCAAGTCATGGTCATAGATTACACAACCGCAGCTAACCCTAAAATGAGAGCTAAGTGTTATAGGAGAGTTTGGATGGAACCTTGTGCTTGGGTCAACCCAAATTCTTAATATTTAAGAAATTGACTCAAAGGGCTAGTCCATGAATGATGAGAGAATAGCATCATCTGTCATTTACAGAGGACTGCACATTGTGACTCTATGTTAGAATGTCAAGTGGAGTTTGTATTTAGCGGCTTGCTGTGTTACAAACTAACTTCTCAGTTTTCTTAATTTTTTAGTTGGAATTTTTACTTTTTCATAATTTCTTATTAAGTAATGCTATTTTTGGAAGAACATCAAAGTTTAAATTAGGCCATTTAATTACTAGAGTAAAATATCAACAGATCAAAAGATTTCAAAGTAGTATATAAACAATTGCATTCAAAAATTAAGAAAAAATGTATGTAATGTAATGATAGAATGAAAATAGTATATGAAAATATGATTGTTTAAAAAACCATAAAAATAAACAAAAAGTAATACTAAACCATAGTAAAAAGCAAGTAATGCTATGCACAGCTAATTACAAACTTATACATAATGACCATAAATCTAAAAGTTTAAATAATTTTAATAAAATAAACATTTTTATAATAGCTTTAAAAATTCAGCTATATGTACTTTAAGAGAAAAAAAGAAAAAACTGAACATAAAGAACAAAATTAAGGAAGAAAACATGAAGCAAAGGCTATCTACTGAAAATAAATTTAAAACAAAAATATTAATGGATGCTAAAATAGAATACTTATCATAATATAGGACAGGAAAACATTAGTTTACTAAGTTACAAAGTTTTGACAAATTCTAAATTAGTAAAATAAAGACAAATCTGAAAAGTGTATAATCATATGGGGAGATAACTTTAAATATTATTCCCAGAAAGTGTTCAACTAGCACTAAATTAATAAATAATTAGAGGATAAATGCAAAACTAGCAAACATATAAGAAATTCAAACAAATCAATGTATTTTATCATGAAGATAAATCTTCAAACTCTAAATAAGAAAATTCTTACAGAATACATTTACTGATCAAAATTGACTAGTATGAGAAATATTAACAAAAGGATAGCCAAGAAACAAGAAAAGCTTACTACCCAGATATTTAATTTAAGAAACCAACATTGAGACAAATAAATATTTAGTTTAAAAATCAAATAAAGCAGACTTTGAAGTATATTTAGAAATAAATGAAAATTTATTACAAAGCTTCTAAGTAAATTTACAGACTCAATATATTTATTGAAAAATACAAAAAAAGTAATTACTCAGCAAAGACATCAACTCAAGAAGTTAGAAAAATGTAAGAAAATAAACTTAAAAATAAATAATGAATAATTTTTATATTAAACACATATTATGAAGAAAAAATTCAGAGACTAGCTCATCGATGAAGTCAAAATATTTTCATTGGGAAACATAAATAAATAAAATCACTATGTAAAAATATGAATAAAATAAAAAGAGGGGAGAAAAAATAAATATTGCCAAAAAGAAAACAGATAAACTGATGACAACGAGATTTCAAGATAATAAAGCATAAAATTCCATATTCAAATAAGCAGAATTAGAAATGGCAGGTGAAATTAAAACCGATCCTACAGAAATAAAATAGGTCTTCAGAGACTATTATGAATACATCTATGCACACAAACTAGAAAATCTAGAGGAAATTAATACATTTCTAGAAACATACAACTTCCCAAGACTGAATCAGGAAAAGAAAAATGAGTCCCTGGACAGACCAATATTGAGTTCCAAAATTGAAGCACTAATAAAAAACATATCAACCAAAAAAGCCCTGGACAAGATTAATTCACAGCCAAATTCTTCCAGGCATATAAAGAAGAGCTGGTACCAATTATATTGAAACTATTCGAAAAAATCAAAGAAGAAAGAGTCCTCCCTAACACATTCTAAGAAGCTAGTATCACTCTAATACCAAAACCTGGCAAAGGTACAATAAGATAAAAAACAAACAAACAAACAAAAAACACCTAGAAGCCAATATTCCCGATTAACATATGAAAAACATCTGAATTAAATACTAGCAAACCAAATCCAGAAGCACATCAAAATTTTAATTCACTATAATCAAGTAGACTTTTTTTTTTTCCTGGAATGCAAGATTGGTTCCTGGGATGCATTTTTTTCCTTCAACTTTTATTTTAAGTTCCAGGTTACATGTGCAGGATGCGCAGGTTTTTTACACAAATAAACATGTGTCATGGTGGTTTGCTGCACAGGTCATCCCAGCACGTAGATATGAAGGCCAGAATCCATTAGCTGTTCTTCTTGATGGTCTCCCTACCCCCATCTACCCGCTTCCAACAGGTCCCAGTGTGTGTTGTTCCCCATTCATATGTCCATGTGTTTTCATTGTTCAGTTCTCACAAGAGAAAATATGCAGTGATTAGTTTTCTGTTCCTGTGCAAGTTTGCTGAATATAATGGCTTCCAACTCCATCCATATCCCTGCAAAAGACATAATCTCTTTTTTTAATGGCTGGATAGTGTTCCATAGTGTATATGTACCATATTTACTTTATCCAGTCTATCATTGATGGGCATTTGAGTTGATCCCATATCTTTGCTATCATAATAGTACTTCAATGAACATACACATGCATGTATCCTTATGATAGAATGATTTATATTCCTTTGAGTACATACCCAGTAATGGAATTGCTGGGTCAGATGATATTTCTGCCTCTAGGATTTTGAGGAATTGCCACACTGTCTTCCACAATGGTTGAACAAATTTACACTCCCATCAACAGTGTAAAAGTGTTCCTTTTACTCCACAACCTTGCCAGCATCTGTTGTTTTTTGAGTTTTTAATAAAAGCCATTCTGACTGGCGTGAGATGTATCTCATTATGGTTTTGATTTGCATTTCTCTAATGATAAGTGATGTTGAGCTTTTTTGTGTGTTTGTTGAGTGCATGTATGTCTTCTTTTGAGAAGTGTCTATTCATGTCCTTTGAACAGACACATTCTAATGGGGTTGTTTGTTTGTTTCTTGTAAATTTGCTTAAGTTCCTTGTAGACTCTTGATATTAGACCTTTTTCAGCTGGACAGATTGCAAAAATTTTCTCCCATTCTGTAAGTTGTCTGATGTAGGTTGTTCACTCTGATGATAGTTGCTTTTGCGGTGCAGAAGCTCTTTAGTTTAATTAGATCCCATTTGTCAATTTTTGCTTTTGTTGCAATTGCTGTTGATGTTTCTGTGATTAAATCTTTGCCCATTCCTTTGTCCTGAATGGTACTGTTAGATATTTTTTAGGGTTTTTATATTTTTGTGTTTTACATTAAAATCTTTAATCAGTCTTCAGTTAATTCTTATAAAGGGTGTAAGAAAGGGGCCCAGTTTCAATTTTCTACATATGGCTAGCTTGTTGTCCCAGCACCATTTATTAAACAGGCAATTATTTCTCATTGCTTGTTTTGGTCTGGTTTGTTGAAGATCAGAGGGTTCTAAGTGTGCAGTCTTATTTCTGAGATCTCTATTCTGTTCTATTGGTGTATGTGTCTGTTTTGGTACCAGAACCATGTTTCGGTTACTGTAATCTTGTAGTATAGTTTGAAGTATGATAGACTGATGCCTCCAGCTTTGTTCTATTTACTTATTATTGTCTTAGCTATTCAGGCTCTTTTTTGTTCCCAGAAAGATTTCAAAATAGTTTTTCTCTAATTCTGTAAAGAATGTTGATGACAGTTTAATGGGAATAGAATTTAATCTGTAAATTACTTAGTGCAGTATGGCCATTTTCATGATACTGATTCTTCCTATCCATGAGCACAGTGGAATGGTCTACAATGGAATGTTTTTCCATTCATTTGTGTCCTCTCTGATTTCTTTGAGCAGCGATTTCTAGTTCTTCTTGAAGAGGTCCTTCACTTTCCTTGTTAGCTGTATTCCTAGGTGTTTTATTCTTTATGTAGCAATTGTGAATGGGAGCTCATTGATGATTTGGCTCTCTGCCTGTTTTTGGTTTATAGGAATGCTTGCGATTTTTGCGCAATGATTTTTTTCCTGAGACTTTGTTGAAGGTACTTATCAGCTTAAGAAACTTTTGGGCTGGGATGATGTGGTTTTCTAGATATAAGATCATGTCACCTGGCATGCTTTTTGTTTATTATTATTATTATTTGGTCCTGAATTACTATTAGCTATACCCAGGAACAACACTGAAGACCTTGGGTGAGCCTCTGAGACTCGCTGGCTTCTGGTGAGACTCAGCACATTACCAGTTTGGGTGGCTATGAGAGAAAACTCTTTCTGCTTGAGAAAAGCAGAGGAAAAATGAAAGGGGACTTTTTCTTG